>NW_025791781.1:0-300000 GCF_000001405.40 Homo sapiens
GAATTCCCTTCACGTGCCACATAAAGTAGTAAGAATCACTGGTTGTGAAATTGTTTCAATGAAAAGATTACCTTTACCTATACTACATATAAACCTCTACATTACAGATAGTGAATATTGGTAGAAGAAAGTTGAGATTATAGAATGGCATGAAATAAAAATTATTATAGGAAATGGTCCTTATGTAGCTGTGAGTGGATTTGATGAAGTAACTATCTAGGAAGGATCAGAGATAAGATGCCTGCCAGCCCTGGTGAAGGAAGAACTAGAGAGAACTCACCAGAAGGTCAGTACTTCCTGCTGCTGGAGTGGCATGGTCCAGGGGGGCATTGTGGCTCCTCCCTCTTGTTAGAATCCAGGTCAAAGTAGAGTTGGACAGAAAGTTCAGGAAGTGAGGATAAACCAGAACACACCAGCTCCACTGCTTCTGTACCTGGTGGCCTCCATCCAATTACACCAAGCAGGGATGGACATTCTGGGAAAAGTACTAGCTTACTTTCTCTTTCTCATGGACTAGCTTTCAATTTCCAAATACCTTTAAGTTGACATATATAGCCATAATTTAGTCAAATTTGATCAATTAAATCCTAACAGTGTTCCATAAAAATTTTAAAATTATGATTACAATACAAAATCAGTATTATAAAAATAATTTTATTTACTCAATATATTAAATATTTACATCCCTAAGTTAAAAGAAATCGTTTCATAGTGTAGTGTAAGATAAAAAGCAACATTTTTATATGTGAGTGACATATAATAGAAATATCAGTTAGATGGGGATTTTGGAGAATACTTTTTCTGACTTATAAAACTAAATGTTAACCCTTCAAGCTAAATATTCTTAACCCTTCAAACTAAATATTTTTATCTACAGAAAAGAGGAGGAGCAGGTAAAATATCCAAATACTTATTTGATTGACCTCTTAATTCCCTGGATATTCCTCACTGCTTAACAAACCAAAAGTCAAGGTGGCACAAGCCCACTCCCCAGGCAAAGGTTACATTTTTGAAATTGTTTTGTGGGTGTGGCCTGTGATGAAGTTATGGCTAATGGAAGGAGAACTTGCCTGTCCAACTTCTAGGAAGTGTTCTTGATGTTGCTTGAACTGGGGATAAGAAGGCTGAAGTTTTGCAGGGGACTGGAAAAATGCAGGATCCTGGCTCCCTGAGCATTTTATGGAGGAAAATCACCAAACCAGCCCTCAATTGCTTTCTGCTCAGATAAAACATGAGAGGTGTCTCAGTCCAGTCACACTGCAGTAACAAATGCCATGGACCAGGTGGCTTGTAAACAACAGACGTTTATGTTTTGTAGTTCTGGAGGTTGGAAGTTTGAGATCAAGGTGCTAGCAGATTTTTGTTTCCTAAGGACTCTTCCTGGTTCATATTGGGCACCTTCTAGCTGTGTCCTCACATGGAGGAAGCGGTGAGGCAGCTTTCTGGACTCTCTTTGATAAGGGCACTAATCCCATTCATGAGGTTTCTCTGCCCTCATAACTGAATTGCTTCCCAAAGTCTCCACCTCCAAATTCCATCACACTGGAGGTTGGGTATCAACAGGTGAATGACAGGGAGGAGCACAAACATTTGATCCATAGTGGAAGGAAAATTAACTTCCAGGGTGACTTCGCAGTTTGGTCACAATAGGCATACCTGGGTTACCTTATGATGGCTACTCAACATGGTGTCCAGAATTTTCTTTGGAAATTTTCTTAGATTCTTTTAAGTAAATTTGTTGCTTAAAGACCTCTGATCTAAATCCTACTATTTGTTTGATCAAAAAACATGTACAATTGTGTTTATTAGATCTTGCTGAGTTTTAATTTACAAAGACATCCTTCTTTTCAAAATAGACACATTGTTTTTCAAAGGTTTTAGTCACCTTTTTAATATGTGCTTTGTTATAAAAGTCAATTCTAGGTTTTTCAGGATAACTTTCAAAAATACTCTTTGTGTAAATTTATAATTTTTTAATAATATTTAAAGTAATGCCTCAAACACTTCAGGCAACCTCAATGTGTATCTGGATATCCAATTCATTAATATTTTTCCTTCCTTAAACAAAATTGCCATCTGCAGTAATAAATAACAAAGTGATCACCTTCCTTATGGCCATTCTCTTTTCTCCAGCAAGAGTCATCATTTTTTTTCTCCCAGTTCTAATTTCCTTTCTCTCTTTTGCATTATTAAATCCCTTGGTGTTTTTTTGTATCAACTTTTAATTTAAAACCATGAATTTAATTAGAGCATAAAATTATTTTTTGAGATCAACAAGATATTGAATTGGGCTCTTTCCAGCAGTGATTACTATATTACAGGCTTCCCTACCTCAAAATAAAACTGCACCCAACAGGTTTGTTTTTCAGAGTCATTTTGAAAAATTGCATTTAGTCTATCAACTTAATAAGTATTTGATTAATTTATTAGTTTTCACATTTTATATATTTTAGAGAAATTTTTGTTTTATAATTGTATTGTTCTAAGAATAGTTTAACATTACAGTTAGCAATAAAGTGCCACCTTCATCTTCATCAAGTGACAGCGAATACACCTTAGAATATTTTATAATTAGCACTTAGACTTTTTGAATCAGAGGTAATTAGAACTTTATTGCAAAGCTTCTAAAGTCATTCAAAATATAATTTTTACTTTCAATAATGGTGAAGGTTGTTTAAATATATGTTTTAATTTATAACCTTGAAGGATAGTTATTCTTCCAAATTTGGATGCCAAAAATGTCCTAAGAGTAATTTATTCTAAAAAGATTTAAAGATATAGGTGAAACAAACTGAGGAGACATCAACAATAGCTAGAAGCACCAGTTGTGAATAAAGAAATTGACATTTAGGTAGGAGTAGAGACAGAACTGTGGAAAAAGCTATAAGCCCACTTGAAGACACACCTTCTTACCATGATACTGCGTGCTCCCCTAACCTTTCCTAGCTGCCCTTTCCTTCCTCTCAGCCCAATGAATAGAGTCTCAGCACAGTCACACCAGGTTTGGGAAATAATGAGAAGCTGAGGGCAGCTGGGGTAGGCAGCACCCACACAGAGGCAACACCCTGCACCGCCTGGCTGGACTGAGGACCTTCTGTTTGCTGCTGTTCTGCCTCCTCTCTCATGCCCAGGTCCCTCTGATCCAAGTGGCCCTCGTCAGGTTCCTGCCCCCTGGCTGGCATCCAAGCCAGGTAGTTCAACCTTTCTGAAGGTGCTGTGTTGCACAAGGGAGAGAGGGTGGACTATCAGGGCTGATGTCTAGCCTGAGCCCCATTCCCATCCTCTGTGCCCTGCCCCAGTCTATATCAGCATTGAGCAAAATGTATCTTTCCTGATTCTCACAGAGGCACATTTGTGGGGACCCCGGCCAGCCTTCTACAAGCCTGGCTGTCACCTATTATTGACCTCCTCCTGCCAGCCCCTTTCCCTAAGAACCGGAGTACTCAGTTACATTTTTGTTTATGTGGGCTACACCAGAATCTCAGCCCTTCTCTGTTTCTTGCAGATCTTTGCCTTGACCTTGTGGAACTGTCCAGCCATCTAGCTCCCAAAAGCAATGCTTAAATCATCCCCGAAATCAGATCAGATGTGAATGACATCAGCTCATCAGCCTTGGGCAAGTTTCCCAACCTCTATGCAACCAATCCCATGTTGCCTCTGGAAATGGGAGAAATAATACCTGTCTCTAGGGTTACTGTTAGATTTAAATTTGCCCCCTGTATTAAACAGTGCCTTATTCTCTTTTCTTTTTTCAATTTAATTTTATTTTAACTGACAAATGTATATAATTTTATATATTTATGGGGTACAAAGTCATGTTTTGATACATGTATACATTGTGGAATGGGCAAATCAGGCTAATTAATGTATCCATCACCCCACATACTTACCATTTCTTTGTGGTAAGAACATTTAAAATCCAATCTTCTGTTACTTTTCAAATATACAATACATTATTGTTAACTGTAGTCACCTTGCTCTATGATGGATCACCAGAAGGTATTCCTCCTGCCCAACTGAAACATTGTACCGTTTAACTAATACTGCTCTCCTCATCCACCACCACCCTGTCTGTGGTAACCACCATTCTACTCTCTAATTCTGTGAGCTTGAATTTTTTAGATTCCACATATGAGTGAGATCATGCAAAATTTGTCTTTTTGTGCCTGGTTTATTTTGCTTAGCATAGTGTACTCTAGATTTGTCCATGGTGTCACAATAATGTCATTTGGTTCCTTTTTAAGGCTGAATAGTATTCCATTGTGTGTATATGTATGTATATAATGTGTGTATATCATATTCTTATGTTTCTATATGTGTATAATATGTAGCATGATATATATTATATGTTTTAATGTTTTAAAGATTTAATGTTTATAATACATGGTATATGATATATATATGTATATATACATATATCCGTTATTTTAATCGCTTCATCTGTTAATGGGCATTTAGGTTCCTATATCTTGGCTACTATGAATAATCCTGCGATGACCTTGGGAGTGCAGATATCTCTATTGGGTGTAGGTTTCTTTTCTTTTTCTGTCTTTCTTTTTTTTTTTTCTTTTTTGAAACAGAATCTCACTCTATTGCCCAGGCCAGAGTGCATTGGTGTGATCTCGGATCACTGCAACCTCTGCCTCCTGGGTTCGAGGGATTCTCGTGCCTCAGCCTCCCAAGTAGCTGGGATTACAGGTGTGTACCACCATGCCTGGCTAATTTTTGTATTTTTAGTAGAGACGGGGTTTCACCATGTTGGCCAGGGTGGTCTTGAACTCCTGACCTCAAGTGATCCACCCACCTTGGCCTCCCAAGTGCTGGGATTATAGGCATGAGCCACCGCACCCAGCCTCAGGTGTAGATTTCATTTTTCTCGGGTATAACCCCCAAAGACAGATTGCTAGGTGTTATTGTAATTCTATTTTTAATTTTCTGAGGAAACTCCACACTGCTTTCCATAATGGCTGCACCAATTTACATTCTCACCATCTGTATATACGCTTTTCCTTTTCTCCACATCCTCACCAATACTTGTTATCTCTTGCCTTTTTTAAATAATAGCCATCCTAGCAGGTGTGAGATGGTATCTTATTGTGGTTTTGGTTTCCAATTCCTTGATGTTGAGAACCTTTCTCATATACTTGCACATTACTTTTATGGAGAAATATCTATTCGGGTCCATTGCCCATTTTTTTGTCCAGGTTATTTGTTATTTTGCTATTGAATGTATGAGCTCCTTATGTATTTTGATTATTAATCTTTTATCATATATAGGGTTCACAAATATTTTCTCCTATTCTGTGGCTGCCTTTTCATTTTGTTAATTTTCCATTGCTGTGCAGAAACTTTTTAGTTTGATGTTTAGCTTAGATCAGTTTACTTTGATATTTTATTGCTTTTGCTATTTTTTCCTGAGCTTTTGGTATAATAACTACAAAAATTTATTACCTCCACTGCTGGGTATGTATCCAAAAGAAAGGAATTCAGTATATCAAAGAGACATCTGCACTCTGTGTTTGTTGCAGCACATATACAATAGCGAAGATTTGGAAGCACCCTAAATGTCCATTAACAGACGAATGGATAAAGAAAATGTGGTACATATACACAATGGAGTACTATTCAGCCACAAAAAGAACAACATCCAGTCATTTGCAATAACACAAATGGAACTGGAGGTCATTATGTCAAGTGAAATAAGCCAGGCACAGGGAGACAAACATCACATGTTCTTGTTTATTTGTAGGATCTAAAAATTAAAACAATTGAACACACGGAGATAAAGAATAGAAGAACAGTTACCAGAGGCTGGGAAGGGTAACAGGGCTCTCAGAGCCAGAGGTTGGGATAGTTACTGGGTACAAAACAAAGGTTTGCACGAATGAATAAGGCCTAGTATTTGATAGCACAAGAAGGTAACTATACATTTTAAAATAACTAAAAGAGTATAATTGGATTGTTTGTAATACAAGGATAAATGCTTGAGGGGATGGATACTCTGTCTTCCATGATGTGATTATTATGCATTGCATGCTTGTATCAAAGCATCCCCATAAATATATACACCTACTATATACTCACAACAATTAAAAATTAAAAATATAAAAATAAATAAAAAATCATTGTCAAAGCTATCCCCTGTGTTTTCTTCTAGGGGTTTTACAGTTTCAGTTCTTATGATTTTGTGTATTATCTAAGATTAGTGCACTATTTAAATATTTTGCATGTGGATCTCATTTAACCAATACCACTTGTTGAGGACAATGTCTTCTCCTCATTGTGTCTTCTTGGTGCCTTTGTTGACAATATATGCTTAGGTTTATGTTGGAGGCTCTCAGTATTGTTCCATTGAACTCTGGGTCAGTTTTTATGCCAGTAGCATATTCATTGGTTACTATTGCTTTATAATATAATTTGAAATAAGGAAGTATGGTATTTTCAACTTTTCTTCTTTCTTTCTCTCTTTTTTTTTTTTTTTTTTTTTGAGACAGACTCTTGCTCTGCTGCCCAGGCTGGAGGGCAGTGGTGTGATCTCAGCTCACTGCAACCTCCACCTCCCAGGTTCAAGTGATTCTCCTGTCTCAGCCTCCCGAGTAGCTGGAATTACAGGTGTGTGCCACACCACCTGGCTGATTTTTGTATTTTTAGTAGAAATGGGGTTTCACCATGTTGGCCAGGCTGGTCTCAAACTCCTGACTCAGGTGATACAGCCACCTCAGCCTCCCAAAGTGCTGGGATTACAGGCATGAGCCACCGTGCCCAGCCACTCTTTTTCAAATTTATTTTTAATTGACAAATAAAAATTTTTACTTATGGGGTACAATGTGATGTTTTGATATACACATACATTGTAGAAAGATTTAATCAAATTGATTAACATATCTATCATCTCACTATTTTTATAGTGAGAATGTTAAAAATCTCTTCTTTTAGTAATTTTGAAATGTTCGATACGTTGAAAATGTTACCAGACAACAGAAACCTTTTATTTTATATACTTGTGATCCAAAATTTCAGAACCTGTGTGTACTTAAAAATACTTTTGGAAGTTGCTAACTGACACTAGATTTTTTAAGTGAATCATAATGTCAGTTTAAAAATTGAGTTCTAACAAAACCAAAGAAATATTGTTCAGACCTATGTGACCTAGACAGCTAAGCTGCACTCTTTCTCGCCTATAAGTCCAGTTATTTGTTTGTTTTTTGGTTGTTGCTGCTAAATTGTTGGTTCACACAAGTATATCACTGCCTTATGCTGTATTATTTCAGAGAAGTTTGTAAATCTTAATGCTGTGTTGGTCCAATCTTATCTCCTTCCTCTTTCTATAGTTTTGGATATATCTGAGTTGTGTTAACTACAGTAGTTTTTTTAAGTTGTTTTAAAATTTAATAATATATTTACAATAAATCAAATTTGTAACTTTAAAATACAATTTAATTCTGTCACATAATGAATGCTGAGGGTAGGAATTAAAGGTAAGTTGCTAGTTCTCACCTAGTAAAAGAAAGTGTAGAAAAATACTCAACAGAGGATAGAAGGCAACACATTTACTTTTATTAATACCAATAAATTGTATCCTTACTATAATATTTTAAAAATATTCTTCCCTCTTGAACCCAATGCTTTATTTGTAGCCTGCATTTCCTTGCTATCTGAAAGCATCATACACCATTACCTAACAGATGCATTAACCAAATACAAGGAAAGCCAGATTTTCTTTCCAGCGCTCCTTTAGTTATGCCACTTGCTGTGATAGAGGCCATGGAATGGGAGGGGCTGATGATTATCCAAGTAGCAGGTGAGCAGGAGAGCAGATGGGGAGGAAATGGCTCTTTAAAGTAGCTGCAGTAGGAAAACACCATGGGCGTAGTCCCAGCTGAGGAAGACCATGGGAGGTGGTGGCAAGCATAAAATAGCACCTGGAAAGTTCAATGAGTGATAGGCAAGTGATTGTCCTTGGAGATTCAACACAGTGAGAATGAGATTACAGTATTTGTGACTCTGAAACCAAGAATCAGTAGTACGCAAAAATCTAACCAAGGGAGCAGGCAGTGGTTACTAGGAATATCACTGCCCCCTCGACGGGACCTCAAGCACTAGACAGTGGGGTAGAAATAATTTCCTGCCAATAGCAATGGGGGTGAGACATGGAGTGCGTGTCAGGAAGCAAAGACAACAACTTAGGCTCAAATAATAAAAAGGGAGCCAATGTCCAGAATGGGATTAAAATGTATAGGTTATGATTTCTGAATAAGGAGGGAATTGCTAAGGAAGTTCAAAAGAGATATGCACTAAGATAAATTGAGACCAAAGCCCATAGTGCTGCATCAGGATCTTTCTTGCAGTTGTGAGGTGCCTGAGCCTCAGATGAGGCTATAACAAGGGTAGAGGAAGAAGGCTCCCCGGGAACCCTTTTCTGCACTCTCTTGGGAACACTGACCATCTGCCAATCCACAGTTTTCTCCCGTGATCCTTTTGCTGTTCTATGTCTTCTCACTGCTTCTATAAAGTATTCTTTGAATGTATTAACTAAGAGGTTTTTTCTTCTGAAAAAAAGTCCCAGCATGTTGTTTCTTACTTTTATATGTTTATTCTATTCAAAGAAATAATCTTATTTCAAAAAATTTGCTGACTCTCAATTCAGTTTTTAATTCCAGAATTGAGATTTTAAAGTTGTACTGAAAATATTTCCAAAGGCTTTGGGATTTATATAAATATTTATGAAATAAGAATAACTTCTCTCTTTATTCACAAAAATGAATAATAAGTATGCCCTAATGTAAAAATATAATTTTATCTTTTAATATGTTGACATTAACTTTTTGAATATTGAATGGTTCTTTAATTCTTTAATTCTGTTGTACTTTTTAAATGCTTTTAATTCTGATTATTTTATTTAATTACATGTATTGATGGCCTATTAATATAGTGGCATAGTAAGTAGACTTAATGATAGACACAATAATAAATAATATATGGCCTAGTAAAGTGTCTTAGTCTGCTAAAGCTACCATAACAAAATACCACAGGCTGGGTAGCTTACACAACAAAAATTTATTTTTCACAGTTCTGGGGCTAGAAATCCAAGATCAAAAGGCTGAACAATTTGGTTCCTGGTGAGGGCTGTCTTCCTGGCTTGCAGATGGCTGCTTTCTCACTGAGCCCTCACATGGCCTTTCCGAGAGAGACAGAGAGGGAGACTAGAACTCCAGTGTGTCTGCTTATAAGGACACCAGTCCTATCAGATCAGGGTTCCACCACTATCACTTCTTTTAACCTTAATTACTTCTGTAAAGGCCCCAACTATCACACTGAGGGATAAGGCCTCAACATACACATTTCGGGGGTACACAAACACTCAGTTCATAACATAAGTTCAATAATACATTCCTGTTTACCTAAGAAAGTTCTGAATGCTATGAATATTAACCTGATTTAATTATTAAAAGGACACATCTCCTTTCACTATTAGAATTGACCTGATGTGCATGATAAATTAAAGTCTCTCCAGACCAGGGCTTCAAGGGTTTCGGGGAGGAAGAAGAGCCAATAAAACACACATCAATAGGCTTAATAGAAAAGTTCTGAAAATAGTGTGAGGTCTCATGCAATCAGCTGAATGACAACATGATGAGTCAGCTCAACACTTCCGAACCCACTCTTCTTGTTGGCAGTTAGGATTAACTTGACTGTACTGTCTGTCTTTGAGGATTAAGCCACAGCATGTGAAAGCCCACAGCAGCCCTGGCACACAGCTGGCATGCAGCACTCCATCCTTTGTTTTTTATGGACAGTCTTTTCAGTCAGCATGGATCAGAGAAGACTTTTAAAAGATGTAGCTCTTGCTAAGCCTTGAGGTGTGAGTACACATTTGCTGAGCAGAAAATGAGTAGATCAGAACGGAAACACCAACAACAAGGACAACTAGGTGATGCCAGAGACAGTAGGAAGACTTCAGCAGGATTCGGGACCCTCAAGTAGCCTGGTGCTCAGACTGGTGTAGCAGGGAGAAAGGGCAGATAAGTCTGAAGCAAAGATGGCAATCAAATTCTGAGGATTCGAGCGTTATATCTGAGCTGGGGCTGTATTCTGTGTGTAATGTAGGAGCACCTCAAGCTCTGAAGGAAAGTTACAGGTCCAAATTGAAGTTTTTTCCAAAAAAATTACTCCTACGGAAATACGTTGAACAGATTAGACTTGGGAAAAATCATTGGTGGAGAGAAAAACTATAAGGTGATTTATACTTTTCTTTCTTATTTTTGGAAATTGTAATAAAGTTTTGAGACACTTTTTTTGCCCAGTGTTTGTGTTGTTTTTAATTTCAGAGAATCTTTTCTTTGGGAATTGTATTATGAAGAGTGGAATAGACAGGAATACTTGCAACCACACAGAGCTTTCTTAAGCTTATCTTACATGAGGACGAAATACAAGCTAAATAAATGACCTATTATCCTTTATGATCCAGGAGAATATAGTAAACTCTATAACTTCATGGTCTCATCTTAAGAACTTAAAATTCCAAAAAAATAAATAAATAAATAAGAAAAAGGTAACATCTCATTCTCGCAAGTCTTGTGTTCTATAAATATCAACCTTGGAAAGAAATTATGTTATTAATTAATTAAATCAATATTAGATAATTTGTATATTATACAGTATGAAAAATAAAAATTCTGTATATTTTTATTATGTGCATATTTTATGCACAGAAAAGAAAAGACATTTGTATACCAATTTGAGTGGTTGAGTTCATAGGTTATTTGTATTTTTCATGAAGAGAATTTCACTTACTTTATTTTATTTTTTAAATTTCTTCTGGCCAGGCACGACGGCTCACACCTATAATTTTGACATTTTCGGAGGCTGAGATGTGTGGATCACTTGAGGTCAGGCATTTGAGACCAGCCTGGCCAACATGACAAAACCCTGTCTCTACTAAAAATACAAAAATTAGCTGGGCATGGTGGTGGGCACCTGTAATCCCAGCTACTCGGGAGGCTGAGGCAGGAGAATCACTTGAACCTGGGAGGCGGAAGTTGCAGTGCTCTGAGATCGCGCCACTGCCCTCCAGCCTGGGTGACGAGCAAGACTCTGTCTCAAAAAATAAACAAACAAAAATAAATAAATAAATAAAATTTATTTTTTATTATTTATTTTTACTCAAGTTGACAGATAAAATTATATGTATTTATTGTGTGCAACATGATGTCTTGAAGTGTATATTGTATATGCATTGTGGAATGATTAAATATAGCTAACGAGCATGCATCACCTCACATGTGATCATTTGTGTACTGAGAACACTTTCTATCCACTGGCTTAGCATTTTTCTAGCATTTTTCAAGACTGCAACAAATGGTTAACTATGGTCGCTATGCTACACAATAAATCTCTTGAACTTATTCCTCTTATGTCATTGAAATTTTGTATCATTTGATCAATATCTCCCCAATTCCCCACCTCCAGTCACGAAGCCCCTTGCAACCACTAGTCTGTTCTCTACTTTTATGATATCAGTTTTCTTAGATTCTACATGAGTGAGATCATATGGTATTTGTCCTTCTGTGCCTGGCATATTTCACTTAATATGATACTCTTCTTTGTGGTTATCTTTCCTGACAATGCATTGCTGTACACTTAGGGCCATTTTAAAATACAAATGTGGAAATCTACTGAGCAATTTCTTTTCTAAAGGAGTTCATATGGTAACTAAAACCATTTCTGATGGTAAAATTTGTGCACACATTGAAACCAAATCACCAAATTATTATTTGTTAAAATTAGTATTCACACAAACACATTGTAGGTTATAGGAATAGATAATTTTCCTTGATTTTCTTCTTTAGCCTTAGCATTTGTCAGAAATAGGAGCCAATAAGAAAAGTCCAGGTATGAGGATTTTTGTCTTTACATGCATAGGTGAGTGGGCACATTTGGAATCAAAGGCAATGTTCTTAAGTTCTGAAGATGAGACCATGATGTTTAGGTCTAGAGTTTACTGTACTGACCTGGATCATAAAGGATGAGAGGTCATTTATTTAGCTTGTCTTTTATCCATATGTAAACAAATCTCAATAAAGATTTGTAAAACCATCTTTGTAAAAGCTATAAGAAATACTTTTGAGAAAAAAAAATTTTTTAACAGAATTATTTTAGAAAGTTACAGAATTTAAAATAATTAGAGAACGGAAAGTTTCAAAGCTGAACTTATTTTGGATAACACGTTTATTCTTCTCTACATTCAAGCTTTGAAAGCTAATATTCTGTTGCTTCGTAGGTTGCTTGGAATTGATTAAATTGTTAAGACCGTAAGTTCATTCTGTGAGACACAGGGATGCAAATGAAATCAGATTTCAGGTTTTTGGAGGAAACCACATTGGATTCTATAAGAGAGAAACAAAGAAATGAGAGAAGGAACAAAGGAAAAACCGGAGGCAGGAAGGGGTTGCAGGAAGACAGGAAGATGGGTGTGAAGGAATATGACCATCTCTATTATACTTTTGCTCTCTTATTTACTGTAACTGATGTGTGTCAGTCCAAATCTGTGGCTCATATGAAAACAATCAACATTACAGTGTTTTAGCATAACTAAATGATTCTACTTAATCTTAATTATGTGACAGCAGAGTTGTAGAGCAATGGCTTGAAAAGACAGGCAACACTAATAGCATTTGTTGTAGCCTGAGGAACATAAAAAATTGTGTATTCACAGAGGCCCCCAGTAGCTCTCCTCAGGGCTATGCTACAGCTCTTAATATCTTTCCTGGTGCAACATTATAAGTCACACACAGGAAAATGTATCCACCTAAAAAGATGCACTTGAAGAAAAGTTTGAATGAATTAAATGCTTGATCAAATTCAGGCCAGGCGTGGTGGCTCAAGCCTGTAATCCCAACACATTGGGAGGCCAAGGCAGGTGGATCACATGAGGTCAGGAGTTCAAGACCAGTCTGGCCAACATGGTGAAACCCCGTCTCTACTAAAAATACAATTATTACCGGGCATGGTGGCGGGTGCCTGTAACCCCAGCTACTCGGGAGGCTGAGTCAGGAGAATCACTTGAACCCAGGAGGCGGAAGTTGCAGTGAACCGAGGTCACGCCATTGCACTCTAGCCTGGGTAACAAGAGCAAAACTTTGCCACAAAAAAAAAAAAAAAAAAAGATTAATATAACTTTTTTAAACAATCAGCTTATTTAGTCAGATATTCTTCTCCTCCTCTACTGCAAATTTTTCACATTAGCCCCAGTGACTTTCTCTCAATATTAACCAGAGGGTTATTTAAGAGACAGTGTGTTTTTTGTTATTATTTTGTAAATTTTCATGTAATTTGTTTTACATTTGTAGTAGCAACATCAACTTCTATTCATTGTGGTTAGATATATTGAATTGCATAATTTCTGTGTTGGGGATTTTGAAGTTTATTGTTATTCTTGGGAAACGGTTAGTTTTGAAACGCTTTTGAGCATTCAAATACTATTTAATATCTCAGTCTAGAGTGTATATTTTTAATAAATAAGTACAAATTAATAGAACTAGAACTAGTTTTTTTGATCCATTGGTGACTTACAGGAATCTTAACATCTTATGTTATTATGTTATTCTTTGCATTTGAGTCAATATTCCTATGCAATGAAAAGAGATGTTGTATTATATCCTTCAGTATTCTGCTTGAAGGTGATCAAATTTTCACTGTAGACTCTATGCCATCAATATAAAATAACCTTTTTGTCCTTTTGATTTTCTTTTGCCTTGAATCTTTCTTTATCAGGTATTAATATTGCTTTATTTCCCTTTTCATTTTCCAGCAAAGTTTAGTCCATCTCAATTTTTTATTAAAGATTTACTTTTCATAAGTATGTGTGTTTCTAAACCTAACTTTTAAAAGAAAAGGGAACAGAAAAAAATATATATATAATCACATATAATCTCAGCTCCAGACACAGACTATTAAAATTGCATATGCAGTCTTTTAAGCTGTGGGAAAATGATACAATACTGAAAAGAAGTGACAATAGGATTGTTTTATGGCCTTCAGGTGACTGTGTATGTATTATAGAAATGAGTTCAATGAGACTGCAGGATAAACAGCTTTTCTTTATGCCAGCTAGGCATTCAGCCCTTGATATTGCCACACCATGGCTCTTCCACACCATGAGCTGCCTCATGCACAGACAGGTGATCTCCCGCCCCCTCCCCCTTGCCTTCGTCTTGTCTTGGCCAACCTTCAGGCCCAGGGTGCACTCAATAGTCCTGCAATCCGTTTTTAGGGGGTCAGGCCATGCTGGTACCAGAAGTTGGATAGGGCCAATTTGTAAGGAATTGTGAGTCCTGCATACCAAAATGATTTCTAGAAGGGAAATTGGAGGCTTGGTGGGCCAGGTCCTTGGAGCCAAGGCATATAGCTTGAAGCACCAGACCTAGAGCAGGGAACCCTCTTGCCACATTTCTAAAGACAGTACTGATCCTAATGACCAAAACACAAACAAAAACACAAGTTTATAAGGATAATGGAATAACTGGCATATTGACATGGATTACAAAAATAGCAACTTCCAGGTAATACATTGAATAGGTAATATGCACCTTTATGAATGACTTAAAGGAATGGACATGCCTTGTTGTGTTTTTTTTTTTATAGCAGTGGTCAATATTTTAAAGATTGGCAAATAATAATTTTCAAAATGGCTAGTGATTTAGGCCATAAAATGTTAAAAGGGCAAGTCAAATTCTAAGAAGTGACATCTGTTTTAAATTAATCAGGAAGTGACTATGATGATTATTATTGTTTTTATTTTTTTATTTATTTCAATAAGTTTTTGTGGAACAGGTGGTGTTTGGTTACATGAGTAAGTTCTTCACTGGTGATTTCTGAGATTTTGGTTCACCCATCACCTGAGCAGTGTACACTGCACCCAATGTGTAGTCTTTTATCCCTCACCCTCCTCCCACTCTTTCCCCCGAGTCCCCAAAGTTCATTGTATCATTATTATGCCTCTGCATCCTCATAGCTTAGCTCCCACTTAGGAGTGAGAATATAAAACGTTTGGTTTTCCATTCCTGAGTTACTTCACTTCGAATAATGGAATCTCCAATTCCATTCAGGCTGCTGCAAATTCGATTATTTCATTCCTTTTTATGGCTGAATAGTATTCCATGGTGTGTGTGTGTGTATTTTCTTTATCCACTCGTTGATTAATGAGCATTTGTGCTGGTTCCATATTTTTGCAATTGCAAATTGTGCTGCTATAAACATGGGTGTGCAAGTATCTTTTTCATATAATGACTTATTTTCCTCTGGGTAGAGATACCCAGGAGTGGGGTTGCTGGATCAAATGGTAGATCTATTTTTAGTTCTTTAAGGAATCTCCTCACTGTTTTCCATCACGGTTGTACTAGTTTACATTCCCACCAACAGTGTAGAAGTGTTCCCTTTTCACCACATTTCCACCAACATCTATTTTTTTTTATTTTTTTATTATGGCCATCTTTGCAGGAATAAAGTGGTATCGCATTGTGGTTTTGATTTGCATTTACTTGATAATTAGTGATGTTGAGCATTTTTTCATTTGTTTGCTGGCCATTTGTATATCTTCTTTTGAGAATTATTTATTCATGTCCTTAGCCCACTTTTCTGATGGGATTGTTTTTTTCTCACTATTTGAGTTCCTTGTAGATTCTGGATATTAGTCCAGATATAGATTGCAAAGATTTTTCTCTCACTCTGTGGATTGTCTGTTTACTCTGCTAATTAATTCTTTTGCTCTGTAGAAGCTTTTTAGTTTAATTAAGTCCCATCTCTTTATCTTTTTTTTTTTTTTTTGGTTGTTTTTCAGTTTTTTTTTTTTTTTTTTTGGCATTTGCTTTTGTGTTCTTGGCCATGAAGTCTTTGCCTAAGCCAATGTCTAAAAGGATTTTTCCAATGTTATCTTCCAGAATTTCTATGATTTTTGGTCTTAGATTTAAGTCTTTCATCTATCTTGAGTTGATCTTTGTATAGAGTGAGAGATGAGGATCCAGTTTCATTCTTCCTTGCATGGCTTGCCAATTATCCTAGCACCATTTGTTAAATAGGCTGTCCTTTCTCCACTTTGAATTTTCGTTTGCTTTGTTGAAGATCAGTTGACTATAAGTATTTGGCTGTATTGGGCTCTCCATTCTGTTTCATTGGTCTATATGCCTATTTTTATACCAGTACCATGCTCTTTTGGCAACTATGGCCTTAGAATATAGTTTGAGTAACATAATGCTTCCAAGTTTGTTCCTTTTGCTTAGTCTTGCTTTGGCTCTACAGGCTCCTTTGGGTTCCATATGAATTTTAAGATTGCTTTATCTAGTTCTCTGAAGAATGACAGTGGTATTTTTTTTTTATTTGAGAATGAGTCTCGCTTTATCACCCATGCTGGAGTGCAGTGGAGTAATCTTGGCTCACTGCAACCTCCACCTCCCAGGTTCAAGAAGTTCTCTTACCTCAGCCTCCCAAGTAGCTGGGATTATAGACACAGGTTTTCACCATGTTGGTCAGGCTGATCTTGAACTCCTAACCTCAAGCAATTCACCTACTTTGGCCTCCCAAAGTGCTGGGATTACAGGTGTGAGCCACTGCACCTGGCCAAAAGATGGTGGTATTTTGATGGGAATTGCATTGAATTTGTAGATTGCTTTTGGCAGTATGGTCATTTTCACAATATTGATTCTAACCATTCATGAGCATGGGATGTGTTTCCATTTGTTTGTGTCATCTATGATTTCTTTCAGCAGTGTTTTGTAGTTTTCCTCATAGAGATTTTTCACCTCTTTGGTTAAGTATATCCCTAAGTATTTTTTTTTTTGCAGCTATCATAAAAGGGGTTGAATTTTTTATTTGATTATCAGCTCAGTCACTGTTGGTGTATAGCAGAGTTACTGATTTGTGTACATTAATTTTGTATCCTGTAACTTTACTGAATTCATTTATCACTTCTAGGAGCTTTTTGGATGAGTCTTTAGAGTTTTCTAGGTATACAATCATGTCACCAGCAAACAGTGACAATTTGACTTCCTCATTACCAATTTGGATGCCCTTTATTTATTTCTCTCGTCTGATTGCTCTGGTTAGGACTTCCAGTAATATGTTGAATAGAAGTGGTGAAAGTGGGCATCTTTGTCTTGTTTCAATTCTCAAGGGGAATGCTTTCAACTTTCCCCCATTCAGTATAATGTTGGCTGTGGGTTTGTTATAGATGCCTTTTATTACTTTAAGGTATACCCTTTCTATGCCAATTTTGCTGAGGGTTTTAATCATAAAGCAATGTTGGATTTTTTCAAATGCTTTTTCTCCATCTATTGAGATGATCATGTGATTTTTGCTTTTAATTCTGTTTATATAGTGTAGCACATTTATTGACTTGCAGATGTTAAACCATCCCTGCATTCCTGGCATGATACCCACTTGATCATGGTGGATTATCTTTTTGGTATGCTGTTAGATTCTGTTAGCTAGTATTTTATTGAGGATTTTTGCATCTATGTTCATCAGAGATATTGGTCTGTGGTTTTCTTTTTTTGTTAAGTCCTGGTTTTTGGTATTAGGGTGATAATAACTTCATAGAATAATTTAGGGAGGATTCCCTCTTTCTCTGTCTTTTGGAATAATGTCAGTAGGGATTGGTCCCAATTTTTCTTCGAATGTCTGTTAGAATTCAGATGTGAATCCATCTGGTGCTGGACTTTTATCTGTTGGTAGCTTTTTAATTAACATTTCAATCTTGCTGCTTGTTATTGGTCTGTTGAGCATTTCTATTTCTTCCTGGTTTAATCTAGGAGGGTTGTATATTTCCAGGAATTTATCCATCTCTTCTATGTTGTCTAGTTTGTGCACATAAAGGTATTCATAGTAGCCTTGAATGACCTTTTGTATGTCTGTGGTATTGGTTGTAGTATCTCCCATTTTATTTCTAAATGAGCTCTTTATCTTATCCCTTCTTTTCTTCATTAATCTCACTAACGGTCAATCAATTTTATTTATCTTTTCAAAGAACCAGCTTTTTGTTTCATTTATCTTTTGTATTTTCTTTTTCTATTTCAATTTCACTTCGTTCTGTTCTGATCTTGGTTATTTATTTTCTTCTGCTGGGTTTGGGTTTGCTTTGTTCTTGTTTCTCTAGTTTCTTGAGGTGTAATCTTAGATTGTCTATTTTGCTCTTTCCGAATTATTGATGTAGGCATTTAATGCTATGAACTTTCCTATTAGCACTGCTTTTGCTGTATCCTAGAGGTTTTGATCAGTTGTGTCACTATTATTTTTCAGTTCAAAGAAATTTTAAATTTCAATCCTGATTTCATTGTTGACCCAATGGTCATACAGGAGCATTTTATTTAATTACCATGTATTTGCATGTTTTTGAGGGTTCCTTTTGTAATTGATTTTCAATTTTATTCCACAGTGGTCTGAGAGAGTACTTGATGTAATTTTGATTTTCTTAAATTTGTTGAGACTTGTTTTGTGGACTATCATATGATCTATCTTGGAGAATGTTCCATTCTAATGAATATAACATATATTCTGCAGTTGTTGGGTAGAATGTACTACTGTAAATATCTATCAAGTCCATTTGTTGTAGGATATAGTTTAAGTCCATTTTTTGTTGTTGTTGACTTTCTGTATTGATGACTTGTCTAATGCTTTCAGTGGAGTATTGACGTTCCCCACTATTATTGTGTTGCTGTCTATCTCATTTCCTAGATCTAGTAGTAATTGTTTTATAAATTTAGGGGCTCCAGTGTTAGGTGCATATATATTTAGGACTGTGATATTTTCCTGTTGGACTAGTACTTTATCATTATATAATCCCTCTTTGTCTTTTTTAATGGCTATTGCTTTAAAATTTGTTCTGTCTGCTATAAGAATAGCTACTCCTGCCCTTTTTTGTTGTCCATTTGCATGGAGTACCTTTTCCACTCCTTTACCTTAATTTTATGTGAGTCCTTATATATCAGGTGAGTCTCTTGAAGACAGCAGGTACTTGGTTGGTAAGTGTTTAACCATTCTGCTATCTTTTATCTTTTAAATGGAGTATTTAGGCCATTTACATTCAACATTAGTATTGAGATGTGATGTACTATTCTATTCATCATGCTATTTGATGCCTGAATACCTTGCTTTTTTTCATTGTGTTATTGTTGTATAGGTACTATGAGATTTACGCTTTAAGGAGATTCTATTTTAGTGTATTTTGAGGATTTGCTTCAAGATTTAGAGCTCCTATTAGCAGTTCTTATAGTGCTGGCTTGTTAGTGGCTAATTATCTCAGCATTTGTTTATCTGGAAAAAGTTGTATCTTTCCTTCATTTATGAATTGTAGTTTCTGTGGGTACAAAATTCTTGGTTGACAGTTGTTTTGTTTAAGAAGGCTAAAGATAGGAGCCCCATCCCTTCTAGCTTGTAGGGTTTCTGCTGAGAAATCTACTGTTAATCTGATAGGTTTTTCTTTATAGGTTACCTGATGCTTTTGCCTCATAGCCCTTAAGATTCTTTCCTTCGTCTTGACTTTAGATAACCTGACTTTAGATAACTATGTGCCTAGGCGATGGTCTCTTTGTGATAAATTTCCCAATTGTTCTTTGAGCTTCTTGTATTTGAATACCTAGATCCCTAACAAGGCTGGGGAAGTAGTCCTTGATTATTCCCTCAAATATAAATATATTTTCCAAACTTTTAGATTTCTCTTCTCCCTCTGGAATGCCAATTATTCTTAGGTTTCATCATTTAACATAATCCCAAACTACATGGAGGCTTTGTTCATTTTTTAAATTATTTTTTCTTTGTCTTTGTCTGATTGAATTATTTCAAAAGCCTTATCTTTGCACTCTGAAGTTCTTTCTTCTACTTGTTCAATTCTATTACTAAGACTTTCCAGTGCATTTTGCATTTCTCTAAGTGTGTCCTTGATTTCCTGAAGTTGTGATTGTTTTTCAGTTATGCTATCTATTTCACTAGAGTTTTTTTATTCATATCCTGTATCATTTTTTTATTTCTTTATGTTGGATTTGACCTTTCTCTGGTGCCTTCTTAATTGTGTAATACCGACCTTCTGAGTTCTTTCTCTGGAAATTCAGAGATTTTATCTTGGTTTGTGTCCATTGCTGGTGAGCAAGTGTGATCTTTTGGGGATGTTAAAAAACCTTGTTTTGTCATATTACCAGAATTGTTTTCTGGTTCCTTCTCATCTGGGTCGACTATGTCAGAGGGAAGACTGGGACTCAAGGGCTGCTGTTTAGATTCTTTTCTCCCATGGGGTGCTCCCTTGATGTGGTGCTCTTCCCTTTTTCTTAGGCATGTGGCTTGAGAGAGACAAACTGTAGTGATTGTTTTTGCTCTTCTGGATCTAGCCACCCAGCAGTGCTACAGGGATAGTAGTGGGGAGTGTCTGCAAAGAGTCCCATTATGTGATCCGTCTTCAGATTCCTCATCCGTGGATGCCAGAACCTACACTAGTGGAGGTAGCTAGGGAGTGAAGTAGACTTTGTGAGGGTCCTTGGTTGTATTTTTGTTAAGTGCGCTGGTTTTGTGTTGGTTGGCCTCCAGCCAGGAATTTGCACTTTCAAGACCACATCAGCTATGATTGTATAGGGAGAAGACAAGCTTGCTTGAGGGTTGTCTTTGGATAAGTATTCAGGTTTCTCAGATGGTGGGCAGGGCCATAAAGCTCCCAAGAGATTATGTCCTTAGGAGTGTCTGAGCTCCTACATGCCTAACCCTGCCCCTACCTGATTATTATTTTATTGCAACTTTTCACTAACACGGTTACTAATAAGCCTGTTGTATGTAACACATGATACTGGAAAATGTATACTTGGGCACATAATCTAGAGGAAATTTGGAAACATTCATTAAAAGCCTCAAGTATTTTTAAATGACTTACTCCACAATGTCACTTACAGAAATGTATTTTAAAATAAGGGACATATATCAAAAAAAGAAACCCATTAAAATATTAATACTTAAAGTATTAAAGAAAAAGCAACAGACATTTAAATGCTTATGCAAATTTGACAAGGCTCATTAAAATGATAAGATCATATTATTACGTATGAATGCTGTGTTTATATGTGCTTATGACCTATTGTCAACTTTTTTCTTTTTTTTTTTTTGAAACAGGGTCTCATTCCATCATGTAGGCTGGAGTGCAGTGGCTAATGACTCAGTCGTGGCTTACTGCAGCCTTCACCTCTTAGGCACATGCAGTCCTCCCACCTCAGCCTCACCATGTTGCCTAGGCTGGTCTTGAACTTCTGGGTTCAAGCGATCCTCCCACCTCAGCCTCCCAAAGTGCTGGGATTATAGGCATGAGCCACCAAGTCTAGTCTATTTTTTTAAGTATATAATAGACTTAAATATGCATAGGTAATAAATATTTTAACTTTATGTTTACTCTTTCTTTTAATCACTTAAATAAATATTCAATCGTAAACCAAGTACTTTAGACAGCCAGTCTCCTCATTGTTATTTCAGAACTTTTCCAAAGGGGTATCGCTTCCATCTCCACAATCCATTTCTCTCGTCTGGCTCTCAGCATGATTCTGAGTGCCACTTTATGTTCTCGCTGTACTTGGCTCCAAGTGCTGAACAATTCTTTTCCCCTTCATTCATGAAGGTGTTTATAACTGGGCTGTTGTATGAACAAACATTCAGGCTTACTAGAAAGGGACTACAGGATAATGTAAAATAGGAAAGATTTTTTATTTGAAGATCAGTCACCCTAAATCTCCTTGGCAGGTAACGTTAACAGAGATTCACCATTTGCTGTACTTCTCTTAACGTCTTATTTGCTGCATATTCCATGGTGCCGTCCCTTTCCACTGTGCATAATGACGCTCAGGCTGACAGTTCAAAACTCCAAAGTTTTCTATCCTTTAAAGTATACATAAATCTGTTCATTAACCTGTAACAAGAGTGGGCCTAATACATAACCTTGCTTATACAAGAAGTTCGCTGACAAGTCACTCTAAACACATTAGTAATAGATGGCTGCCACCACTTATATTAGGACTATTCTAATACTTTTTAGACTATAGTAAAGTGTTTTATATTTATTCCTACATTGTGTGCAACAAAATGACTAGGACATCATATATCGATATACTATATAAATTACAAGTAATTTTCCGCCATATTTTATGTTTTTTGAGAATTGTTCTTTAGGTTATATAATTTTTATAATTATAAATGAAGATAAATAATTACTACATTAAGAAGAAAGGAAAATAAGAAGAAAAAAGAAAGGAAGGAAGGAAGGAAAGAGGTTAGTTACTAGAAAATAGCCTGTGCTGAAAACTTGACCCAGGTCAGAGTATGGTGGACTTGTTTTGATTCTGAAATCATATTCTAGAATGTTTAAGTCATGAGTACAAAGTAAAATCATAAAAAAAAGAAAAGCAGGAGAAATCTTAAGAGTAACTTTTGTTCTGTCTTAATCTGGCATTACCTGGCATCTTTCTCTCAACTTTCCACAAATAGTTGTAAAGTTATATTCTTAAACACACACTGGCACTATGCTGAAAACCAGAGGCAGGGAACATAATTGATAGCAAATATGATGGACATTCCACTGAGTTTATTGATGGAAAACAATTTTAAAGTCTTTTTTTTTTTTTTGAGATGGAGTCTCACTCTGTCACCCAGGCTGGAGTTCAGTGGCATGATCTTGGCTCACTGCAACCTCTGCCTCCTGGGTTCAAGCGATTCTTCTGCCCTAGCCTCCCGAGTAGCTGGGACTACAGGCATGTGCCACCATGCCCAGCTAATTTTTGTATTTTTTTTTTTAGTAGAGACGGAGTTTCACTGTATTGGCCAGGCTGATCTCGAACCCTTGACCTCATGATTCACCAGCCTCAGCCTCCCAAAGTGCTGGGATTACAGGAGTGAGCCACCACGCCAGGCTGAAAAATCCATTTTAAAATTGAACATCATCCACCATCAGAACCAGATATGCACAGGCAAACCCACAGAGGGTCTGCAGGGCTCCAGTGACTCCAGGCTGTCCTCCACACATTCCAGGACACAGGTCATGTGACACCAAAGCAAACCAGCCAGGGGTGTGCTGTGACTTAGCCCAAACCCATCTTGTGCCTTTGTTTCTCCATTTGCTCAGAAGTCAGCCTGCAAAACCATTGTGAGAATAAGTGATGTATCATTGGAGTTGATTTCCTAGGATTGCTAAATAAAGGCATTAAGAGGAAACCAAATTTACATTATTTTTTATAATTTGTTAAACACATGATTATTTAATGTCTAATAATGCCATGATCGAAGTTTCAATTCTGAGTAAATCAGACACAGCCCCTACACACATGGCAAACATCCTAGGAGCCATAAAGCAAACAAATAAATGCATAACATTGTCGGCCATTTTTCTGTTCTGCACCAGCATCTGTGCTGCTGAGCCTTGGGACAACATCACCTGCCTTGGGGGCTGGTGTGGAACGAGGACACAGAATCCTGCTGGAAGGAGAAGGAAGGATAATTGTTTCAGGAGCAGAAGCTACCCTCAGTAGAGAATTGGTAGCATTTTCTAGAATTCTATATAAATAGAATTACATAAATACGTATTTTTGTTTGGCTTCCATTACTCATCTTAATGACTTAGAGACTCATCCCCACTGTGGCTTGTATTAATAGGTTACTTTTATTCTTTGCAGTTGTGGTTTTCATGAATAAGTGGTATTTCATTGTATAAACAGAACATGGCATGTTAATGTATTTTTCAGCTGATGGACATCTGGGTTGTTTCCAGTCTTTGACTACTAAAAGTAAAGCTAGTATGGATATTTGTGTGAGTAAATGTTGTCCTTTCTGTTAGGTAAATTTTAGGAATAGAATGGCTGCGCTGAATTTGAAGTACACGTTTAGCTATTTAAGAAACAGCTAAATGCTTTCCAAGTAACTAGATATGCTGTTTCGCGAAAGGGCTATATATGCAAAGCAACCCCCAAATGCAGAAGGAGCAGAGAAAGCAAACAATGAGGCAGACAAAGCCAGTTTGACAGTAGAGATGCTTCATTAGGGAACTTAGGGTCAGAAGTGTAGTCTTGGGTGGCTCTAAGGTAGCTAGATCTTCACACTGTCACCCCAAGACCCGGAGCTTATATACTTTAGTGAAAGGGTATGCATGCTTCAGAAGAAATAGGTAGGACAACCAAAGTTGATGCTTTAAGGAAACAAAAGAATGCTATATGCAACACAGCCTATAATTCACTTAAGAGCAGGATTTGTGATAACTATGTGCCCTTACACTGAACAGTGGATAAAGTAGAAATCTTCCAGGTGTTCATTCGGAACTGGAGTTAATCAGAAGTCAGTATGGCAAATTAGCATCCAAAATGGAGTCGCCGTAGCCTACATATGTGCTGTTTTACTTTCCCAGGAATAATACATATGATTTTAGTTGTTCCACATACTCACCGGCATTTAGTACTGTCGGTCTATTATATAATAATTGTATCTATTTCAGTGGGAATGCAGTAAAAAGAACTCCAGCAAGACTGCTTATAAATACAAAGAAGAAAAAAATGGAAGGAGGGAAAAAAAAGGGAGGAAGGAAGGAAGAAAAAAAGAAAGGAAGGAAGGTTGCACACAAATGCAATGCTGAATAGAAAAAAGAAAATATGGACATAGAAGAGCATCAATAATAACAAGGAAAATATTATCAACAATTGAGTGCTAACGAATTTGAGAACCTAGGTAAAATCGGATCTACAAATATTTAAAATAGGATTTATAAATGTATATCATGTCAACTTTGGCATAAAACTATAGAACTTGAATAAACTAAGTAAATAAATGAAAATATTACTAACAACCTCTCCAAGTCCCCTAAGTCCCTAGGCCTTGATGATTTTCCAGGTGAACCTTACCAATTAAAAATTAATTCTTATCTTATGCAATATATAAAATAGCTATAACTTCTAATTTCATTTTTTAATCTAGTGTACCCTAAAGAGAGGTAAAGTGTACCCTAAAGACAACAAATATAATTATCATTTCAATCACGAATATAGATACAAAACACATAAATAAAATATTAGCTAACTAAATACAAATGAAATATAATCAATTATAATCAATTGAGGTTTATCCCAGAAATTTCAAGATGTTTTAAAATCAGAAATATAATTTATCACATTAATTAATATAAAGAAAATATAATTTTTTCTATCAATGCAGGTAAAAAAATCATCTGGCCATCCAATTATAGAATATTTCAACAAACTAGGAATGGTAAAGAACTTCCACAGCTTTGCAGAAATTTTTAGGACGCAAATAGGAAAATAGATGATAGATTGATAGTTGATAGGTAGATGGATAGACAGATAGATAGATAACAGAACCATAATTATATGCTTATTAGGGAACCATTTGAGACATCTCCTTTACAATAAGAAAAAAATGCAAGAATATCCACTCTCACCTCATCTATTTAGTAGAATGCTGCCATTCCTGGCAAATGTTATGAGGAGAAACAAATAAGGGTGTATAGTCTAGAAGAAAAGAGATTGAACTACCTTTATTTTGAGGTAATATAGGACCTAGCTAACTGAAATAGCCAACAGAAACAACAGACAGCAATAGGCACTAATAAGTGAGATAAAAAATGTTTCCATTGCTTTAACTATGAAAACTCATGCATACTGGTAATTTTAATTCAGAAATGTAAGATACCCTTTAAAGAGGCAATAGAATTGTAACGTTTCTAGGAAGTTATTCACCAAGAAGATACATAAAATCCACAGAGAAGGCTTTACAACTACAATAATAAAAATAAGTCAAAATGAATAGATGAAGAATTATTCCATTGATCATTTTGAAATATAAATTCTCAGAAAATTAATCTAAAAATACAATCCCAATTAAGTGTTGGCTGGCTACCTTGAAAAACTCAATTAGATGTGGTGTGTGTGTGTGTGTGTGTGTGTGTGTGAGAGAGAGAGAGAGAGAGAAATGGGGGAATTTTTTTTACTTCTGAAATAAGTATTGAATTGAATGAATTTTAACCATTTATACATTATACATTTTCAGGAAACTTGGAAATCTAGACAGTTGAGTTAAACATAGAAACAAGCATATTAGATCCAACAATACATGGAACAACTTGTGGAAATTGAAGCAGGCAAATAAATTACATTGTCAAGTGAGTGAGCCCTCGTGTATATCCCTTGGGAAGGGCTTCTAGTCCACAAGGAACTGGTGAAGATCTCTCAGGACTCGATAGTTTAAAGAAGTGATATGCTTGGCTTGTTATCTAACAGGGATTCACTCTTCAGAAATATGAGTAGATTATAAAAGTACAATGTGGTGTTGATTCTAAGATGAGAGAGATAGGAACCAGAAACAACTGAGGACAAGCGGCAAAACGAAGGTCTATGGAACTCTCTGGACTTGGCATATGAGTTAGTCCTGGGCACTTTGCTGTGTAATATTGGTTAATGGAACAGACAGGAAAACAGGTTGTTTTCTTTCAGCTTGCTACATAAACTTCAGGTAGTTAAGTAATCATGTCATGGCCCGAGTTCTTCATTTTAATTTTTTTTTAATTATACATTTTATTTTTAAAGCAGTTTTGGGTTTATAGATAATTTGAGCAGGATGTATGGAGAGTTCACACATACCCTCTTTCTGCCCCACAGTATCCCCTGTTATTAACATTTTGCACTAGTATAGCACATTGCGAAAATTGATGACTGTATATTTATATATTTCTAAACTACATGAAATTCACTCTTTGTGTTGTAAAGTTCTTTGGGTTTTGAAAATGCATGTATTGACCATTACAGTATCATACAGACTAGTTTCACTGCCCTGAGGAGCCTGGTGCTCCATCTATTCATCCTTTCCACTCTCCCCAGAGTCCCTGACAACCACTGATGAACTTTTAATTGTCTCTGCAGAGTGTCTTATAGTTGGAAACATACAGTATGTAACTTTTTCAGACTAGGTTCTTTCACATAGCAACAAGCATTTAAGGTTCCTCCATGTCTTTCATGGCTTGATAGCTCATTTTGTTATTGTTGAATAATAATATCCTATTGCATGGATGTACCACAGTTTGCTTATCCATTCACCTATTGGATATCTTGGTTGCTTCATTTTTGGTAATGATGAATAAAGCAACCATAAATATTTGTATGTATGTTTTTTTGTGGACATACATCTTTAACTCATTTGGGTAAAAACCTACGAGTGTTGTTCTTAATTGTGTGGTAAGAGTATGTTGAATTTTGTTAGAAACTCCCAAACTGTTTTGTTTAGTGGCTGCACCATTTTGCATTCCCATCAGCAGAGCAGGAGAGTTCCCATTGCTCTACACCATTGACAGCATTTGGTGCTGTCAATCTTTGGGCTTTTAGCCATTCTAATAGGTGTGTGGTGAGATCTCACTTATTTTGATGTGCATTTTTCTAATGACATATGATATTGAGGATCTCATCCTATGCTTATTTTTTATCTTGAATCTTTTTTGGTGAGGAGTATGTTAAGATCTTTTGTCCATTTTTCATGAGTTTGTTTTTCTTCTTAAATTTTTTAGATACATATTTTGCAAATATATTCTCCCAGCCTGTGGCTTGTACTTTCATTCTTTAAAGAATGTCTTTCACAGAGCAGAAGTTTTTAATTATGAAGAATCCACTACGTTATTGTTTTATCTTTTATAGATTGTGCTTCTGGGACTGTCCAAAAATTCATTGCTAAACCCAGGCTTAGGTAGATTTTCTCTTGTGTTATCTTCTGGAACTATTATAGTTTCACATGTTACATTTAAGTCTATGATTGATTTTGAGTTATATATCAATAACTCCTCCCTATTGTCATTTCTCCTGGCATAAGATAGTTTATCTAAATATTTTTGGTCAATTAAAAACATCAGATCATAAGTTGCTATTTAAAATATTAAAGATATCAGTCTTATGCAGATTATTTTAAAATGTTATAAGTGAAGTAATTGCCAATTATCCACAATATGTTGGGATATTTCAACTTGAATCCTAAACAGAAATAATTTGTAAAAAAAATAGAAGATCTATAAAACTTCTGAAATTAGGGTAAGACGTGGTAGTCTCTTTTTTACATATTTATTGAGCTTACCAGGTTATTAAAGTGCTCTAAAACAGCTAGGTAATCAGCATGGATAATATGGACTTGTCAAACAACTATCTGTACTGATTTTACTAAGGATTGTGAAAATTCTAAAAATATCTGTCCTACTTTTTCATTATCATAACTTTATGTGACACAAGTATGCATACAAAAGTAAAATGTCTTTTCATGAGGGTGCAACCATTATTACGAATAGGTGATATAAACCAGTTCTTAAGCTGGGCTCCTGATTGACACTGAAGTAAGTTAGAAGACTGTTCATGATTTAGAAAGCATAATTAATGTCAGCTGGCTTTCACCATTATTAAATTTTGCTTTAAAATGCTACATTAGAAGATAAAAATATGATCAAAGAACTAGGAAGTTATAGAACCATTTATACTTTGAAATTTCAATGCTTTTAATGATTCTTTGACAAAGAACTAAGCAAGATCATAGACTCGCTGCACTAATGATCATAAATGCTGCCCTGAATTAGAACAGAAAGAATATCTTGTTTGAGACTTCTTAAATTCTCCTTTGTGGCTGTTTATGCACTGACTTACATTTGAAGTGGTTGGGTAAGAACTGACATTAGCCACATGGTTTCATAGTGTTTGGGATTTCTGTTTTTCTGTTCCTAATACTTGGGGTGAGAAATGAAATATATTTGGATATCTGAATTATCTCTGAGGAGTTACTTTTTATGCTGGTTTCTGAAAAGTGCATTCCCTCTAGAATTTTGTCGTATCAAACTTACTCCTGTTTGATGAGAGTACAGGGAAACAAAAAAGACATATTCACAACATTATAATAATAAAAATACTATATCACTGAAGTATTGATATGTAAGGCTGTGTATTCACTCCTTCATACACAGTCACACATAATACTCACATGAGCCACATAAGTAGGTAAAATAATTGTTACCACTTGACAAACAAGGATGTAGAGCCTGTGTAAACTAAATCTTCCCAGGAATTCACACAGGATGTTCATTTCTTACCAGGCCTCAAATATTGATTTATTCATATATGACACAGAAGCCCTCTCAAATATTGATTTATTCATATATGACACAGAAGCCCTCAGATGTATACACTATCTTATTATTTCTCTAATCAGAACTACTTTGAATAAGAATATATACTACCAATAGGGCTAGCAAGGATGACATTAGTGCTTGCCATTTTATAGGATCTCTCTAAATATTAACATGTATTCATACAAGTACACACACACATACATGCACATATGTACGTATATTATGTAACAGGTGACTGGCCTGTGTGTTGATGCACTATCAGTAGAGGCCTGAGCTAAATGGGCCTCTCTGTTACCAGACATCCATGCGTGCCCACACAAAGGATTTTCATTGGAGGTGTTTGCTTATTTAAAGTTTCTTGTTTTTACAGTTTAAAATTGATTCAGAAAAAAAACATTGAAACAAGTTTTTAAAAATTTTTAAACAAAATATAATTAAACTTATTTAGATAGAGATCTGAATCTTCACATTCTCTCAAAGTTGAACAGTTGTAGCTAAAAAAAGAAATAGGCAAAGTGACAGCTTCAGTAATATGAATAAATTTTACTGACAGTCCTACCAAATTTAAAATATGAAATTGATATATGTATGAAAATATTTTATGGAAAGCTCAAAAACACCCCTCAAAGTAGTGAGCTTGAAGGAATACTGGTTCCTTCAAACACCATGGCAAACGGTGGGATTGTTTATTAATGATTTTTATGGGTTGGAAAATATTTATTGACATGTAACATGAGTAACTCACTCTACTGGAGACTTGCACAAAAAATTACAACACTTACTTTCAGGAAGTTTACAGTCTAGTTTGGTAAATAGACTTGGAAGCAGGAAACTATGAATAAGATCACCACGTTATCCTTGAAAATGTATTCTGTGTGCTACAGGCCTGCTGCCACTGGAATGCTCATTTTCTTTCTGACTTTTAAACCATCATTTTCGCTAAAATGTACTTACAATGATCTTCTAATGGCATAATTCAGAATTCATAATTAGGTGTTCAATTAGGTGGCACAATTCAAAATTAGATATTCTCCTAATTGCACAATTTAGAATACTTTCTATTTTTTTTTTTTTTTTTGTAATTCTCACTCTAAGACTGATTTGGCATTTGACCACTACCTATTGTTTTAATTAATAGACTTATTTTTTAGAAGACAATTATATTTACAGCAAAACTGAGTGGAGAGTGGCTTCACACTCCTCACACATATTGTTTTTCTTGTTATTAAATTCTTACATGAATATGGTAGTGTATTACACTGTTCTTGGGTTTCTATAAAGAAATACCTAACACTGGATAAATTAATTATAAGTGACACAGCAGGAGCAATGCCATCTTGGACAAGCACCACTATTCTAAAGTTCACCTTGATCAAAAACTGCCTGAATCCAAGGGGCATCAGCCTAATGACTAAGGTCAGCATGACCATAAACCACAAATGACGTCTCCAACCAGAAACATTCCAAACCCCTCCCCAACCAGAGACATGCCAGCTCAGAGATAACCTCCCCTCCAGCCAGAGAGATGTCAGCACCAAGAAAACCTCCCCTCCAACCAGAGACATTTCAACCTCACCATAAACTTCTCCTCCACACAGAAACATTCCAAGCTTGTAATAAGCTCTCTCTCCAATAAATACTCTTAGTCTCTAAGAGAGAGTGCTCCTGACCGAAATCGGCCAGAAGCCCCTCTCAGGTTTATTCTCCAAAATAAACCTGTCTTTGACTGTTGAGCTGCTTTTTGTGTTTCTTTCCTCTTTCTTTAACTCTTACAAAAAGAAAAGAGGTTTAATTGGCTCATGGTTCTGCAGGCTGTACAGGAAGTGCAGTACCAGCATCTGCTTCTGGTGAGGTGTCAGGAACCTTCCAATTATGGTGGAAGGTGAAGGTGGAAAAGGCACAACACATTGTGAGAGCAGGAACAAGAGAAGTGGGAGGTGCCACACACTTTTAAGCAACCAGATCTTGTGAGAACTCACTCACTATTGTGAGGACAGCACCAAGCCATGTGAGATCTGTCCCCATGACCCAAACACCTCCCACCAGGCTCCACCTCCACCACTGGGGCTTATATTTCAAAATGAGATTTGGGCAAGGACAAATATCCAAACTATATCATTCTGCCCCTGTACCCCATACCCAAATCTCATGTCCTTTTCACACTGCAAAATACAATAACCTCCTGCTAATGGTCTCACAAAAGTCTCAACTTGTTTCTGCATCACTCAAAAATCCAAAGTCTCATCTGAGACAAGGCAAGTCCCTTTCATCTACCAGCCTATAATATCAAAACTAGTTACTTACTCCTAAGATACAATGGGATTACAGGCATTGTTTTAATATTCCCATTCCAAAAGTGAGAAATTGGCCAAAAGAAAGGGGCAACAGGCCCCACACAAGTCTGAAACCCAGCAGGGCAGTCATTAAATCTTAAAGCTCCAACATAACTCTTGACTCCACGTGCCACATTCTGGTGGAAGGTGTTGGCTCCCAAGGCCTTAGGCAACTCTACCTCAGTGGCTTTCCAGGATACAGCCCCTGCAGCTGCTCTAACAAGCTGAAGTTGAGTGCCTGTGGCTTTCCAGGCTCAGGGTGCAAGCTGCTGCTGAATCTACCATTCTGGAGCCTGGAGGACAGTGGCCTCCTTCCTTCCCACAGCTCTACTAGGCAGTGCCCCATTGGGGACTCTGTGCGGGCTCTCCAAATCCATATTTCCCCTCTGTCCTGCCCTAGTAGAGGTTCTCCAGGAGGGCTGTGCCCCTGCAGCAGGTTTCTGCCTGGGCACCCAGGCCTTCTCATACATCCTCTGAAATCTAGGCAGAGGTTGCCAAGCCTTCTTCACCATTGCATTCTGCAAACCTGCAAGCTTAACACCACATGGAAACCACCAAGGCTCATGGCTTGCACCTTCTGAAGCAGCAGCATGAGCTGTATCTGGGGCCTTTTGAGTCCAGGCTGGAGTTAGAGTGGCATGGATGTGGGGAGCAGTGTCCAGAGGCTGCACAGGGTAGCAGAGCACTGGACTGGACCGATGAAAGCATTTAGTTTTCCTAGACCTTAGGGCCAGTGACAGGAGGGGCTGTCTGAGAGATCTCTGAAATACCTTCCAGGCCTTTTTCCCACTGTCTTGGCTATTAGCACCTGGTTGTTTTTTAGTCATGCAAATCTCTGTATCAAGTGGTTGCTCCTCAGCCTGTTTGAATTCCTCTCCCTTTGTCATGTGGCTAGGCTGCAAATTTTCCAAACTTTTACAACTTGCTTCTGCTTTAAATATAACTTTCAACTTAAAGGCATGTCTTTGCTCTTGCATCTGAGAATAGACTTTTAGAAGCAGCTAGACCACATTTGAATACTTTGCTGCTTGGAAAGCTGTTCTGCCAGATACGTTATATTATCACTCTGAAGTTCAAACTTTCACAGATTCCCTAAGTCACAAACAGAATGCAGCCAAGCTCTTTGCTAAGGCACAACATAGGTAATCTTTGCTGCAGTTTCCAATAAGTTTCTCATTTCCATCTGAAATCTCATGAGCCTGGACTTCACTATCCATATCACTATCAGCATTTTGGTCACAACCATTTAACCAGTTTCTAAGAAGTTCCAAACTTTCCCTCGTCTTCCTGTCTTCTTCTGAGCCCTCCAAACTCTTCCAACCTCTGCCTGCTAGACAGTTCCAAAGCTGCTTCCACATTTTCAGGTATCTTTATAGCAATACCTCACTTCTGGAACCAATTTTCTCTATAGGTCATTCTTGCACTGCAATAAAGAAATACCTGAGGTGGGGTAACTTATAAGAAAAGAGACTTAATTGGCTCATGGTTCTGAAGACTCTGTAAGAAGCATAGTGCCGACATTTGCTTTTGGTGAGGACTTCAGGAAGCTTACAATCATGGTGGAAGGTAAATTGGGAGCAGCCATGTCACATGGCAGGAGAGAGAGCTCCTTTGTGCTGTGCCTTTTCACAGACTTTCCATGTTTTTGATTACCTGACATTTTGAGGAGTATCAGTCAGGTATATTGAATGATGACTCTCTATTAGAATTCATCTAATGTTTTTCTCATCACTTGACTGTGTGGGAAGAAGACCACAGAAGTATAGTATGGTTTTTATCACATTATAACAAGTTTACGTATTATTAACCTGACTTATCACTATTAACTTTGATCTTGATCACCTGATGGAAGTAGTGTCACCCAAAAGCTCTGCTGTTGAATAGCAATTTACCCAGAGTAGAACTTATTTCAAAATTGAATTCAATTTTCTCAAACCCTGCCATTATTTTATCGACTAAATTCATATGATATTCTAAATTCTTTGTCATTATTTCAGCAATGTTCACAGCATCTTCACCAGGAGTAGACGCCATGACAAGAAACTGTTTTCCCTGCTAATCAATAAGAAGCAGCTCCTCACCTGTTCATGTTAGATAATGGATTGCAGCAATTCAGTCACTTCTTCAGGTTCCACTTCTAAATATAGTTATCTGGCTTTTCTACCACATCTGCAGTTGCTTCCTCCACTGCAGACTAAACCCCTCAAAGTCATTCATGAGGGGTGGAAACAACTTTTTTTAAACTCCTGTTAATGTTGATATTCTAACCCCTTCCATAAATCACAAATGGTCTTAATATCTAAAAGGTAAATACTTTCTGAAAGGTGTACAATTTACTATGTGCAGATCCATTAGAGGAATCACAATCCATGGCAGCTATAACCTTACAAAATGTATGTCCTAAATAATAAGACTCAAAAGTAAAAAAATACTCAATGATCTGTGGGGTGCAGAATGGATGTTGTGTTAGTGGGCATGAAAATTATATTAATCTCCTTGTCCATCTCCATCAGAGCTCCAGGCGACTAGGTGCATTGTCAATGAGTAATAATAGTTTGGAAAAAAAAATCATTTTTTATTCTGAGAAGCCGGTCTCAAGAGTAGACTTAAAATATTCAATAAGCCATGCTGTCATCCAGGCTTTTTTATCCCATTGATAGAACACAGGCAGAATAGATTTAGCATAATTGTTAAAGAGTTCTGGGATTTTCAGAATGGTAAATGAGCATTGATTTCAACTTAGAGTCACCAGTTCCATTAGCCTCCAGTAAGAAAGTCAACCTGTTGGTCATGGTAAGCCTAGCTTTTGTCCTGTCTTTGCTTTCAACATGCTTTCCTTGCTAAGCTTAATCATTTCTAGTTTTTGATTGAAAGTGACAGATGTTCAACTCCTTTTTTCATCTGAACACTCTGGGTAATTATGGCCTAATTTTAATAATGTTGTAGCCAAGAATTATGGAAGTCTAAGGAAAGGGAGAGAGATGGGGGAAGAGCTGGTTGGTGGAGTAGTCAGAACACACACAATATATATCAGTTATGTTTGCTGTCTTATATGAGCACAGTTTATGGCACCCCAAAATAATTACAATTCTAACATCAAAGATCACTGATCCCAGATCACCATAACAGTTATAATAATAATGATAACATTTTAAATATGTGAGAACTACCAAAATGTGACACAAAGACACAAAATGAGCACATGCTATCAGGAAAATGGCTCCAACAGACTTGCTCCACAGCAAAGTTGCCACAAACATTTAATTGAAAAGATGCAATCTGTGAAGCACAAAAAAGCAAAGTGCAGTAACACTCAACATTTCTGTACATCAGATTTTCTTTATCCAGTCAACTGACAAAAGACATTTAGGTTATCTCCGTATATTGGCTGTCGTGAAGAATTCTCCAATGAACATGAAAGTGCATATATCTCTTTGTGATCCTGTTTTCAATTCCTTTGGATATATACCCAGAAGTGGGATTCCTGGATCACACAGTAGTTCTATTTTTAATTATTTGAGGAAATTCTATACTGTTTTTTGTAATGGCTGCTTTAGTAAGTTGTATTTTCATTTTTCTTTGCATTGATGTATTTTTAAATTTTCTTTCAATTTCCTCCTTTACCCAGTTTTTATTCAAGAATGTGTTATTTCATTTTTCTGTGTTTGTGAATTGTCCTTTTTGTTTCTGTTATTGCTCTCTAGTTTCATTGCACTATGATCTGAGAAAATACTTGGCATAATTTCAATCTTCTTAAATTTGTTAATATTCACTTTAACATGTAATCTATTATGGATAATGTTCTGTGTGCCCTAGAGAAGAATGTGCATTTGGCTGCTGTTGGCTGGACATTTCCGTATATGTCTACTTGGTTCATTTGGTTTATAATGTTGTTCAAGTCAGTTGTCTGTTACTGATTTTTTGGTGGATATTTTATCCTTTATTGAAATGGGGTATTAAAGTTTCTTACTGTTATTGTATTACTGTCAATTTCTCCATTCACATCTGTCAAACATTTCTTTTTTTTATTTTTTTTATTTTATTATTATTATACTTTAAGTTTTAGGGTACATGTGCACAATGTTCAGGTTAGTTGCATATGTATACATGTGGCATGCTGGTGTGCTGCACCCATTAACTCGTCATTTAGCATTAGGTATATCTCCGAATGCTATCCCTCCCCCCTCCCCCACCCCACAACAGTCCCCAGAGTGTGATGTTCCCCTTCCTGTGTCCATGTGTTCTCATTGTTCAATTCCCACCTATGAGTGACAATATGCGGTGTTTGGTTTTTTGTTCTTGCGATAGTTTACTGAGAATGATGATTTCCAATTTCATCCATGTACCTGAAAAGGACATGAACTCATCATTTTTATGGCTGCATAGTATTCCATGGTGTATATGTGCCGCATTTTCTTAATCCAGTCTATCATTATTGGACATTTGGGTTGGTTCCAAGTCTTTGCTATTGTGAATACTGCCACAATAAACATATGTGTGCATATGTCTTTATAGCATCATGATTTATAGTCCTTTGGGTATATACCCAGTAATGGGATGGCTGGGTCAAATGGTATTTCTAGTTCTAGATGCCTGAGGAATCACCACACTGACTTCGACAATGGTTGAACTAGTTTACAGTCCCACCAACAGTGTAAAAGTGTTCCTATTTCTCCACATCCTCTCCAGCACCTGTTGTTTCCTGACTTTTTAATGATTGCCATTCTAACTGGTGTGAGATGGTGTCTCATTGTGGTTTTGATTTGTATTTCTCTGATGGCCAGTGATGGTGAGCATTTTTTCATGTGTTTTTTGGCTGCATAAATGTCTTCTTTTGAGAAGTGTCTGTTCATCTCCTTTGCCCACTTTTTGATGGTGTTGTTTGTTTTTTTCTTGTAAATTTGTTTGAGTTCTTTGTAGATTCTAGATATTAGCCCTTTGTCAGATGAGTAGGTTGCGAAAATTTTCTCCCATTCTGTAGGTTGCCTGTTCACTCTGATGGTAGTTTCTTTTGCTGTGCAGAAGCTCTTTAGTTTAATTAGATCCCATTTGTCAATTTTGTCTTTTGTTGCCATTGCTTTTGGTGTTTTAGACATGAAGTCCTTGCCCATGCCTATGTCCTGAATGGTAATGCCTAGGTTTTCTTCTAGGGTTTTTATGGTTTTAGGTCTATGTTTAAGTCTTTAATCCATCTTGAATTAATTTTTGTGTAAGGTGTAAGGAAGGGATCCAGTTTCAGCTTTCTACATATGGCTAGCCAGTTTTCCCAGCACCATTTATTAAACAGAGAATCCTTTCCCCGTTGGTTGTTTTTCTCAGGTTTGTCAAAGATCAGATAGTTGTAGATATGAGGCATTATTTCTGAGGGCTCTGTTCTGTTCCATTGATCTATATCTCTGTTTTGGTACCAGTACCATGCTGTTTTGGTTACTGTAGCCTTGTAGTATAGTTTGAAGTCAGGTAGCGTGATGCCTCCAGCTTTGTTCTTTTGGCTTAGTATTGACTTGGCAATGCGGGCTCTTTTTTGGTTCCATATGAACTTTACAGTTTTTGCAAATTCTGTGAAGAAAGTCATTGGTAGCTTGATGGGGATGGCATTGAATCTATAAATTACCTTGGGCAGTATGGCCATTTTCACGATATTGATTCTTCCTACCCATGAGCATGGAATGTTCTTCCATTTGTTTGTGTCCTCTTTTATTTCATTGAGCAGTGGTTTGTAGCTCTCCTTGAAGAGGTCCTTCACATCCCTTGTAAGCTGGATTCCTAGGTATTTTATTCTCTTTGAAGCAATTGTGAATGGGAGTTCACTCATGATTTGGCTCTCTGCTTGTCTGTTATTGGTGTATAAGAGTGCTTGTGATTTTTGTACATTGATTTTGTATCCTGAGACTTTGCTAAAGTTGCTTATCAGCTTGAGGAGATTTTAGGCTGAGACAATGGGGTTTTCTAGATATACAATCATGTCATCTGCAAACAGGGACAATTTGACTTCCTATTTTCCTAATTGAATACCCTTTATTTCCTTCTCCTGCCTAATTGCCCTGGCCAGAACTTCCAACACTATGTTGAATAGGAGTGGTGAGAGAGGGCATCCCTGTCTTGTGCCCGTTTTCAAAGGGAATGCTTCCAGTTTTTGCCCATTCAGTATGATATTGGCTGTGGGTTTGTCATAGATAGCTCTTATTATTTTGAGATACATCCCATCCATACCTAATTTATTAAGAGTTTTTAGCATGAAGGGTTGTTGAATTTTGTCAAAGGCCTTTTCTGCATCTATTGAGATAATCATGCGGTTTTTGTCTTTGTTTCTGTTTATATGCTGGATTACATTTATTGATTTGCATATATTGAACCAGCCTTGCATCCCAGGGATGAAGCCCACTTGATCATAGTGGATAAGCTTTTGGATGTGCTGCTGGATTCGGTTTGCCAGTATTTTATTGAGGGTATTTGCATCAATGCTCATCAAGGATATTGGTCTAAAATTCTCTTTTTTGGTTGTGTCTGTGCCAGGCTTTGGTATCAGGATGATGCTGGCCTCATAAAATGAGTTAGGGAGGATTCCCTCTTTTTCTATTGATTGGAATAGTTTCAGAAGGAATGGTACCAGTTCCTCCTTGTACCTCTGGTAGAATTCAGCTGTGAATCCATCTGGTCCTGGACTCCTTTTGGTTGATAAGCTGTTGATTATTGCCACAATTTCAGAGCCTGTTATTGGTATATTCAGAGATTCAACTTCTTCCTGGTTTAGTCTTGGGAGGGTGTATGTGTCGAGGAATTTATCCATTTCTCCTAGATTTTCTAGTTTATTTGCGTAGAGTTGTTTGTAGTATTCTCTGATGGTAGTTTGTATTTCTGTGGGATCGGTGGTGATATCCCCTTTATCATTTTTTATTGCGTCTATTTGATTCTTCTCTCTTTTCTCCTTCATTAGTCTTGCTAGCAGTCTATCAATTTTGTTGATCCTTTCAAAAAACCAGCTCCTGGATTCATTAATTTTTTGAAGGGTGTTTTGTGACTCTATTTCCTTCAGTTCTGCTCTGATCTTAGTTATTTCTTGCCTTCTGCTAGCTTTTGACTGTGTTTGCTCTTGCTTTTCTAGTTCTTTTAATTGCGATTTTAGGGTGTCAATTTTGGATCTTTCCTGCTTTCTCTTGTGGGCAGTTAGTGCTATAAATTTCCCTCTACACACTGCTTTGAATGTGTCCCAGAGATTCTGGTATGTTGTGTCTTTGTTCTCGTTGGTTTCAAAGAACATCTTTATTTCTGCCTTCATTTCGTTATGTACCCAGTAGTCATTCAGGAGCAGGTTGTTCAGTTTCCATGTAGTTGAGTGGTTTTGAGTGAGTTTCTTAATCCTGAGTTCTAGTTTGATTGCACTGTGGTCTGAGAGACAGTTTGTTATAATGTCTGATCTTTTACATTTGCTGAAGAGAGCTTTACTTCCAACTATGTGGTCAATTTTGGAATAGGTGTGGTGTGGTGCTGAAAAAAATGTATATTCTGTTGATTTGGGGTGGAGAGTTCTGTAGATGTCTATTAGGTCCACTTGGTGCAGAGCTGAGTTCAATTCCTGGGTATCCTTGTTAACTTTCTGTCTCGTTGATCTGTCTAACGTTGACAGTGGTGTGTTAAAGTCTCCCATTATTATTGTGTGGGAGTCTTAGTCTCTTTGTAGGTCACTCAGGACTTGCTTTATGAATCTGGATGCTCCTCTATTGGGTGCATATATATTTAGGATAGTTAGCTCTTCTTGTTGAATTGATCCCTTTACCATTATGTAATGGCCTTCTTTGTCTCTTTTGATCTTTGTTGGTTTAAAGTCTGTTTTTATCAGAGACTGGAATTGCAACCCCTGCCCTTTTTTTGTTTTCCATTAGCTTGGTAGATCTTCCTCCATCCTTTTCAAAATAAAAGCCTCAAAATAGCCTATGTGTGTCTCTGCACGTGAGATGGGTTTCCTGAATACAGCACACTGATGAGTCTTGACTCTTTATCCAATTTGCCAGTCTGTGTCTTTAAATTGGAGCATTTAGCCCATTTACATTTAAAGTTAATATTGTTATGTGTGAATTTTATCCTGTCATTATGATGTTAGCTGGTTATTTTGCTCATTAGTTGATGCAGTTTCTTCCAAGCCTCGATGGTCTTTACAATTTGGCATGATTTTGCAGTGGCTGGTACTGGTTGTTCCTTTCCATGTTTAGTGCTTCCTTCAGGAGTTCTTTTAGGGCAGGCCTGGTGGTGACAAAATCTCTCCACATTTGCTTGTCTGTAAAGTATTTTCTTTCCCCTTCACTTATGAAGCTTAGTTTGGCTGGATATGAGATTCTGGGTTGAAAATTCTTTTCTTTAAGAATGTTGAATATTGGCCCCCACTCTCTTCTGGCTTGTAGAGTTTCTGCCGAGAGATCCGCTGTTAGTCTGATGGACTTCCCTTTGTGGGTAACCCAACCTTTCTCTCTGGCTACCCTTAACATTTTTTCCTTCATTTCAACTTTGATGAATCTGACAATTATGTTTCTTGGAGTTGCTCTTCTCAAGGAGTATCTTTGTGGTGTTCTCTGTATTTCCTGAATCTGAATGTTGGCCTGCTTTGCTAGATTGGGGAAGTTCTCCTGGATAATATCCTGCGGAGTGTTTTCCAACTTGGTTCCATTCTCCCTGTCACTTTCAGGTACAACAATCAGACGTAGATTTGGTCTTTTCACATAGTCCCATATTTCTTGGAGGCTTTGTTCGTTTCTTTATATTCTTTTTTCTCTAAACTTCCCTTCTCTCTTCATTTCATTCATTTCATCTTCCATCATTGATACCCTTTCTTCCAGTTGATCACATCGGCTCCTGAGGGTTCTGCATTCTTCATGTAGTTCTTGAGCATTGGCTTTCAGCTCCATCAGCTCCTTTAAGCACTTCTCTGTATTGGTTATTCTAGTTATACATTCGTCTAAATTTTTTTCAAAGTTTTCAGCTTCTTTGCCTTTGGTTTGAATTTCCTCCTGTAGCTCAGAGTAGTTTGATTGTCTGAAGCCTTCTTCTCTCAACTCTTCAAAGTCATTCTCTGTCCAGCTTTGTTCCGTTGCTGGTGAGGAACTGCATTCCTTTGGAGGAGGAGAGGCGCTCTGCTTTTTAGAGTTTCCAGTTTTTCTGTTCTGTTTTTTCCCCATCTTTGTGGTTTTATCTACTTTTGGTCTTTGATGATGGTGACGTACAGATGGGTTTTTGGTGTGGATGTCCTTTCTGTTTGTTAGTTTTCCTTCTAACAGACAGGACCCTCAGCTGCAGGTCTGTTGGAGTTTGCTAGAGGTCCACTCTAGACCCTGTTTGCTTGGGTACCAGCAGTGGTGGCTGTAGAACAGCGGATTTTCGTGAACCGCGAATGCTGCTGTCTGATCGTTCCTCTGGAAGTTTTGTCTCAGAGGAGTACCTGGCCGTGTGAGGTGTCAGTCTATCCCTACTGGGGGATGCCTCCCAGTGAGGCTGCTCGGGTGTCAGGAGTCAGGGACCCACTTGAGGAGGCAGTCTGCCCATTCTGTGATCTCTAGCCACGTGCTGGGAGAGAACCACTGCTCTCTTCAAAGCTGTCAGACAGGGTCATTTAAGTCTGCAGAGGTTACTGCTGTCTTTTTGTTTGTCTGTGCCCTGCCCCCAGAGGTGGAGCCTACAGAGGCAGGCAGACCTCCTTGAGCTGTGGTGGGCTCCACCCAGTTCGAGTTTCCCGCCTGCTTTGTTTACCTAACCAAGCCTGGGCAATGGCGGGCGCCCCTCCCCCAGCCTGGCTGCCACCTTGCAGTTTGATCTCAGACTGCTGTGCTAGCAATCAGCGAGACTCCGTGGGTGTAGGACCCTCCCAGCCAGGTGCAGGATATAATCTCCTGGTGCACCTTTTTTTAAGCCCATTAGAAAAGGGCAGTATTCGGGTGGGAGTGACCCGATTTTCCAGGTGCCGTCTGTCACCCCTTTCTTTGACTAGGAAAGGGAACTCCCTGACCCCTTGCACTTCCCGAGTGAGGCAATGCCTCACCCTGCTTCTGCTCGTGCACATTGCGCTGCACCCACTGTCCTGTGCCCACTGTCTGGCACTCCCTAGTGAGATGAACCCGGTACCTCAGATGGAAATGCAGAAATCACCCGTCTTCTGCCTCGCTCAAGCTGGGCACTGTAGATGGGAGCTGATCCTATTCAGCCATCTTGGCTCCACCCTGCCACCAGAGAGATCTGTCAAACATTTCTAACATGTTTAGGTGGTCTGAGGTTGGGTGCATACAGATTTATAACTGCTATATCTTCTTGTTAACTTGAACTTTTATCCTTATATAAAGTCCTTTTTGTCTCTAGTGATAGTTTTTTACTTAGATTTTTTTTATTTCTTATATAAGTTTAGCCACTCCTGCTCTCTCGTCTCTACCATTTGCATGAAATATCATTGTCTATCTCTTCACATTTAGTCTAGGTGTTTCCTTTTGTCTTGAGTCTCTTGTATACAAAAATCATGCTTTTTATTTCCATTTTTTAAATCCATTCAGCCACTCTGTGTCTTTTTATTGGAAAATTTAATTTATTTATATTAAAGTGATTATTGATAAATAAGAACTTACTATTGCCATTTAAAAAATTGTCTTCTGTCTGTTTTGCATTTATTTTGTTTCTCTGTTGCTGCTTTCTTTTGTTATTTGATTATTGCTTTGTGGTAGTTTGGTTTGATTCCTTTTTCTATTTCTGTCATCTACTACAAGTTTTTCTTTTGTGGTTAACATGAGGTTTATAGGAATCTTTGTGTAGTTAAAACTGTCTATTTTAAGATTTTTTTCTTTTATGCTAATGTAAATGGTATTGTGTTTTTAATTTCAAATTCAAATTTTTCATTTCCAGTATAAAGCAAAGCAATTGCCTTTGAATATTAACCTTACAATTTAGATGTTGATAAATCACTTTTTGTTTCAGACGTTGTTTAATTGATTTGAGATTTTCTAAATAGACAATTATATTATCCAAAAACAAAGAAATGCTCATTTTTTCAAATATATACATTGCATTTATTTTTTTGTCTTACTGCTTTAGCTAATTTTTCCAATACTATGTTGAATATGAATGATAAGAGAAGACATTTTTGCCTTGCTTCCCAATCTCAGAGGAAAATAATCCAGTTTTCCTTATGAAGTAAGAAGGTAGATTTAGGTTTTATTTTTTTGTTGTTGTTATCAAATTGAGGAAGTTCCCCTTCATTCCTAGTGAGCTGAGAGTTTTATCATAAATGGGTGTTGGATTGTGTGAAATATTTATTCTGTGTCAGTTGATATTATTTGATTTTTCTGCTTTAGCCTGTGGATTGTACGAATTTTTAAAAGTTGATGCAGCCTAACATACCTGAAATAAATTCCAGGTGGTTGTGATATATAATTATTTTATACATTGTTTTATTTGATTTGATAATATTTTGTTGAGGATATTCACATCCAAGTTTATGAGAGAAGTCAGAATTTTTCCTTTTTTATAATGTCTTTTTCGGATTTGTTATTAGTATAATGCTAGCCTCATGGAATAAGTTAGGAAATGTGTACTCTGCTTTTTATATTCTGTTAGAAAGTAAAAAATTGGTATTATTTCTTTTTAAAATTTTTTTGATAGTGACAGGACTTTTGTGATTATTTGTTGTTTCTTACATGGATTTGGTTAGTTTGTGTCTTTCAAAAAATTGATCCATTTCATCTATGTTATCAAATTTGTGTAAAATGTTTTTGTTAAGTTTTTGATGTCATTGGATGAGTAGTAATGACAACCCCCTTCACTTAATTTCTGATTTTAGTAATTTTTATCTCTCTACATTTTTCTTGGTAGAGATTTGTCCATTTTGTTCATCATTTCAAAGAACAAGCTTTTAGTTTGTTGATTTCTCTATTGATGTCCTGTCTTTAATGTCACTGAGTTTTGCTATAATTTTATTATTTCTTACCATAGGCTTTCTTAAGGTTAAACTACTCCTCTTTTTCAAGTTCCTAGGGTAGAAATTTAGATTATTGGTATTATATATTTCATCTTTTCTATGATTTGCATTCAATGCTCTAAAAATTTTCCTCGTTTGCTACTTCCATGGCATACCACAAACTTTCTAAGTTGTTTTATTTTCACTTAGCTAAAAATGCTTTTTGTTTAACTATTTGCTAGGTAAGATATGTTTAATCTCCAATTACTTGGAGATATGTCAGCCATATTTCTATTATTAATTACTAGTTTCATTCTCTTGTGATCTGAGAATATGCTTTGATTATTTCTATTCTTTTAAATTTGTTAAAATTGGTTTTGTTCTCCAAAATGTGATTGATTCTAGTGAATGTTCCATGCAAGCTTAAGAATGCATATTTTGCTTTTGTTGGATGGCATATTCTATATAAGTCAATTCCATCCAGTTTACTAGTGATGCTGTTCAAGTCAACTATATTCTTTCAGATTTTCTGCCTACTTTACCTGTTACTTATTGAAAGAAACATGTTGAAACCTCCTACTATAATAGATGATTTGTCTATTTTTTTCTCTCAGCTGTATCAGGTTTTGCTTTATGTATTTTGATTATGTGTGGTTAGATGCATACACATTAAGAATTTTTACAGCTTCTTAGATAATTGGCCCCTTTATCATTGTGTAATTATGTATCGTTATGTAATCCCTCTTTACTCCTGATAAGTTTCTTTGTTCTGAAGTCTGCTCTGTTTAAAATTAATATACCTACTCTCGCTTTTTAAAATTAATGTTAGCATGTCATATTTTCTCCATCCCTGTTCTTTTAATCTTTATGTTAAAAGTGTGTTTCCTGTAAACAATCGTAATTGGGCCTTGTTTGTTTGTTCATTTGTTTTCCATTCAGACAGCTTCTCTCTTTAATAGTGTTATTTGGACCACTCAAAATTAAAATAATTTTGTAAAATGTAGTTGGTTTAATACCTACCATGTTTGTGCCTACTTCCTACTCATTGCACTAATTCTTTATGTCTTATTTCATTATTTTCTTTCTTGTATAAATAATCATAAATGTTTGAAATAATTTAAATTTCTTTTTCTTCCAAGTATTAGGCATTTTATATTAGTCAGGTTAAGTGAAATTTTGCTGTACTAACAGCTCACCACAAGCTCTCTGCAGTTAACAGAAGTTTATTATTCATCCAAATTTCTGCAATTCTGTATAATCCTTCAGGGCAGTCGTCTTCTCTATGTGACTCCTCAATTCAGGCTTCTTCAGATTAGGATTATTCATACACAGTCTCAACACATGCATCCACAATTGACATGCAAGATGTGAGAACAAGACAAATTGCACATGGCCTCTTAATTTTTCCATTCATACAAGTGAGAAAAGTCACTTCTACTGGCATTTTTTTTTTTTTTTCAGAGATGGGGTCTTGGTGTTTTGCCCAGGCTGGTCTAGAACTCCTGGGCTCAAGCAGTCCTCCTGCCTCGGCCTCTCAAAGTGCTGAGATTACATGTGTGAGCTACTACACCTGATTACTACTGACATTTTTTTAATGGTCAACAGGCAAATAACCTGGCCACATTTAACTTCATCAATTACAATACAAGGATACAATATGATATTAAAATTAATTTTAGTAAGCTTAATTCTTATTTTTTACTGCTTTGATAATGACTATATCTACTATTTCAAGATTTAACTATGATGTTTTCTATATTTTCTAGTCAATGCTCTTAAAATATCAAAGAAATTCACTTATTCTTGAGTGCCAAGAGTTTTTTTTAATTAATGTTTATTTAAATTTTCAAATACATTTTATGCAACTATATGACCATTGACTTTTGTCTTCTTATTTATTTGTTAATGTACTGAATTACAGTGATATATTTTATATTAATAAAACTTAATTATTTACTGATATAAAATGCATTGGTTTATTATTTTTAATATATAGAAAAATAAAATAGTCATTCTTTCATAACTTTCAGCATATTTGTCTTTTTGTGATATTCTCTTGTAGTTTTCCTTTCATAAGTTGTCTTGTTTTGAATTTGATAGCAATTATGCTAGACTCTTAATATCATACCAAGATATTATTTTGTGTGTGTTGGGGACAATTTCAGTGGACATACCTGCTTTTTTAAGTATAGATGGTAAACATCACTTATAAAGCTGAGCCTTGTACTTTTATAATGGTGAAATGTTCTGTAATGGTATTTGGACTATTTCGGTTTTTCACTCTAACAAGAAGATTTCGATCATTTTTAAAGTATTAGAAAATATTGATTTTAAGCCAAATTTCAGTTCTTTTGCTTCAGAATAAGATTTTAAAACTTAATATTATTTTATATCCTCCTACAGTAACTATCATCTTCAACCTTTCCTAATGATAAAATCAGGAATTGTAGTTATTATTATTATAATAACATATTCATTTTAACAACTCTATCTCATTTGGGCAACTATAACTTTTATTTATCTCTTTGATCATCATTGACTTGTGCATCTCCAGTGATCTACAGAGATTCATTACTTTTCTCTAATGAAATATATCTTCCGTAGTTCTTTCAAAGAGAAACTAGTTGACAGATTTTTTAGTCCTTAAATGTCTGAAACATCTTTATTTCATCTTCAAATTTAAATGATTATTCAGCTGTTCTGGGTTAAACATTGATTTTCTCAAACACTTCTCAAATTTTGCTTCATAATCTTTTTATATATGCTGTTGCCAAAAATATCCGAAAATAACAGTAACAATGAACTAACCCCATATATCAGAAACTGTTCCAATAATTTTACAAATATTATATAATTTAATGGTCCTAACTGCCTAATAAGGCAGTAGTTGTTTTTCTAATTTTATAAGTAAGCAAAGTGGAAACATAATGTTAATTTCACAGTGGAATACTGATAGGAAGTGGTGGAGCTGGGCTCAATCCCAGCCAACTGGCTTTAGTCTATACTCTTGACCAAAGTGTTCACCAGCCTCCCATGCCTGTGTGACTCCTGTTCCATAGACAACATATTAATTTTGTCAGTGTTGGAGTTTAAGAACATTACTCTGTAATCAACATTGTAAAGTTTATCTACAATTTGTGTAGGTATGAGTTTCATTTAATTTGTGCTATCCAGAAATTGTTACTCCCCTTTTAAATCACTATGAAAGTTACATATTATTCCTTATTGTATTGAATCTCCCTTATTCATTCTATTATTTTTTTTCTGGAACTTTCTTCAGATTGTTATGAATCTTTATTCCATATTTCCCATCATTTTGCTATTTTGCTGCATTCTGAGGCAATTACAGAGCTTTAATTTTTAGTTTAATAATGAGCTGTTCATCAGTATTTAATCTTATATTCAGAAAATCTACTCTTTTTAAATAAACATTTTACTTTATTATTTAACAATCTTTAACTTTCTTTTCCCTAATCTTTTACTTTATTATTTCCCAATCTTTAACTTTCTTTTCCTATTATTTAACAATCTTTAACTTTCTTTTCCCTACTCTATATCCTTGTTCATAATATCCTAATCCAGATATATGGATGAAATGACTTTTCTTTTGCCTTAGGCGAGATTCATACTTCTGAAAACTTTTTGTTGTTATATTACATGGTATTAAATTATATTATAAAGGATAAGACCCTGTATTTGTTGAGTTGATGCATATTCATCATGGTGCAGGCAATCTTAAATGCAAGCTCATTTCTGCAGGTTGGATACTCAAGCTCTTTCCTCTCTTAATCCCAGCAGCCCTGCATACCTAGGAACAGAAGGGTAGACCTGGCTCCTGGGCCTTTTGCTCTGCACTGTGTTTAGTGTGAGTTGATATGGGATGGGTGTGATTCTGACTCAGGTCCCTGGAGAGCTCCTCTTTTGTATATTTCTTTGGAAAGCAATTTATCAGCCACATACAATTAGAGGTACTTGAGGAAAATACTATCATCTCAAAACCAAGCACATCACTAGCATCCTCTCCTTGTTCCTTCCAAGTATTGCCAGTTACCTGGGCACTGTTCTGTCTCTCAAGTGCAAACTTGGCTGCTAGACAGCGGAAAACACATTTTTGCATCTCTCTTAAGGGTTAGGGCTGATTCAAGAAACTCATAAATTATTTGACACTCTTCCCATACAGAGGTGTGGTCAGAGTCCCTCTCTTTGAATCTGAGCTGCTCTGTGACTACTTAGGCTCAGAGAGTATAGTAGATACAGTACTAGTTTGTAGATACAGTACTAGTAGTACAGTACTCGTACAGTCTTGGTTCTTTAGATGTCTGAACTGCCATGGAAGGATCCCAAGTTCCCTGTTGGAAGGGCCATGTGGGGACAGAGAGGGGCCCAGATGAGCCCAGGCTTCCAGCCGTCCCAATCATCTTGGATTCTACAGTCAAGTCAAAACACCATCTGCACACATCAATGACTCCAGTCAACATTACGTGGAGTAGAATTGCCTAACTAAGCTTTGCTTGGACTCTTAAACCACAAAATATATTTAAAAAATTGTTGTTGTTGAAGTTCTGGCGTAGTTTGTTTTTGCTATGTAGGCATAGGTAACAAAAAGAGAGCCAATAAGAGAGATACCCAGATTTTGCATGTCCTGCATTCTCCTACCAAAGAATCTCAGCAAATCGTTCTAACTCTCTTGCTCTAGAATTCTGCCACATCAAGATGTCAATACTGCTAGTGTTGCACTTGGTTTTGAGATGATACTAATCTCCCTAAGTACCCCTAATTGCATTTGGCTGATATTTTGTTTTCCAAAGAAATATATGTGGGACTGTAAGAAAAAGGGAATATATGCTTCAGTTTGCCATATGGATACTGCTATTTTATAGGATGTTTTGCCAAATATCAGGGGTACTCATTTTCCTTTATCAAGTGTGAACTTAATTAGTTATTTAGCTTACAATGGCTTTGACCAAAGGAGTCAGAATTGTAAAAAGCATATGTTACAAATACTTATTTAGTATTTATTTAATTTTATTTTTAGAGATAGGGTCTCATTCTGTCACCCAGTTTGGAGTACAGTGGCAGGATCATAGCTCATCACAACCTCGAACTCCTGGGCCCGAGTTGTCCTCCTCTTTAGGCCTCCCTAGTAGCTGGGACTACAAGAACGTGCCACCACGCCCAGCTCCAATACTTATTTTATCCCAAGAAATTCCTTTTATATTTTACTCTAGATATAAACAATTAGGAAATATTACACTCAGTGTCCTCCCATCTTTGATGGATGAGCTTTTTTACTTTAGTGGAAAGTTTTCAACAGTGAGGACTCACAGTAGGTAGGGTGGTCAGAAAGGCCTCACTCATGTATAAACTGCAAACGTATGACCTGATCTTCTCCATGTATAGCCAGTGCAGATGAATAAGATAATGACATGGGTTTTTTCTCTCTCCTTTGAAACACTGTGTAAGGTTATCTTACTCTCACAAGAGAAAGAGTCAAGAATTTCTCAGGGCAGAAACCTACATGTCACACTTAGCTGAAGAGCACCTGTTTCCTTTCCTGTTCACTAGTTTTCTTTCAGGGCCAGGAAGGCCCAGCACTTTCGATACGCTATACCAAGATTAACGAGTGCAGAACAAGAACATACTTTTCCAGTGGAAGTCAATTTTGTTAAAAGGTAATTGCCCAGTATCTTGATCTGAGAGATGAGAATTTGTAAGAGTTTTCTGACACAAGAGAATTATCTTTCTCTCACCATTACACTCCTTTAGTTGGCCCACAGAGTAAAAATATGTCTATTAGCCTTACCGTTGGCTGGCACAACCTGGCAGGACTTTTCTGGGTTGAACTTTCGATTTCATCCTCTTTCTATCATGTCATAAAAATTCTGCTCCACACACATAAAATATTTTCCATCTGTTTGCTAAAAACTCCAAAATTCCATACTTTTCACAACTTGTTACCTTTGCCTTGAATTTTCCCCATATGCCTAGCACAATAGTACTCAACAATCCAAAATTCACATAAATACAGCAATATTTGGAAGCTTATTCTCAGTCATGTATTTTGTTTTAGGGCCTCCATGCCTACCTTCCTCATGCACATAAGCAATATATGTTGGGCACATTTAAACTGTAGGACTTACTGTTATATTTTGTGATGTAATTTTTTGCTATGTCTCCTAATAGATTCTGAATTCTGACAGCAGAAATGAATCTAACTTTAAAAATTATATAAATGCACCTAGAATAATATGCCAAAAGTTCATGTGCCTATTTTTAAGAATTTCTTCTTGATCACATTGTACCATTTTGTTTCAGATGTTTTTATTAAAGTTAAAACATTTTTAGGCAAGTTGTAGTCTTCTCTGTTCACTCTATCAGTTAAATTTCCCTCCATTTCTTATCTCATGCAAACATACCCTGAATTTAGTGTATCCATCTATTCCATGTGTTTACTGCCTTTACATAAACACACACAAATATTGTGAGGTGTAACCCTACATAAACCCTTGTTCATAGATGTATTGTCATGTAGCAAGGTACTTACCATAGTGCTAATTGTTGAGGCAAAACTTTTTGGAAAGCTATGTGCTTTTATTAAAGTGAAAGAACAAATAAAATGTGGTAAATGCGTAGACTGTGATATCATTCAGCAGAAAGAACTAAGGCCACAAATAACTAAATGAGTAATATTAAAAACATTATATTGAATGAAAAATAAGAGAAAATTAAATCCATAAAGTAGGGCAATGAAAGCAAACTTAAAACACATAAAACATCACTATGCATTCTAAGTGGATGAACATATATGAAAACAAATGTATAGAAGCTGAATTGGAATTATCCACATCTAACACACAAAAGTGGATGGCAATAAAGAAAGGGCAATGGAACCATGGTGGGTAACAAAGAATGGAAAGCAGGGACACTATATGAAATTACGATAAAATGATACTGCGAACTGAGGGGTGAGATCATCTCAGCACTGTGTTCCTGATTTTACCCTTTAACTACCCCCCAAAAGAAGATTGTTCTATTTATCTAGATGTTTGGATCTTGACAAATCTAAAATTATGAAAAATTAAATTTGCCAGGCCTCACATCTCATGCATGTTTGATTCAATTCTAAAAGTTTTTCGTTTTCAAATTTATATTGTACAGTGTTATTTACAGCAAAAATGTTCTATAAAATGTAACAGTGCATCAGTATAACCGAAAAAAATTTTAATATATGACCTGGTGATGAAAGAGAACATAGGGTGGTTGGCAGGAATACAGGGACACAGTACGTAGGACTTTCCAGTACTTCAGCCTTCTGATTTAAGAAAATGCAAATATATAGTGGTGATGTTACCATTTTTCTCAAAGGAAAACAGCCATACTTTGTATTCTTAACCAACAAAAACTCATTTTCTCCTGCCCTTGAAATAAAAGTGTGATAATCTCAGTCACCATCATTATCATAATCTATTTACATTTGTGTGGAGCCTACAGGGCACACAGAATTTAAAGACGGTGTGATTGTATGCAAGTGTGAAATGAGAGAACATTAAAAACCTATGGCCAGTACCCTTAGACCTTTCTTTTCTGGTTTAGATAAGACAAAAACACAAACATCGGTAGCGTATTCCCGCCCTGTACAGCCTTTTCATAGTCTGTGGTGGAGTTTTTGCTTTACCTTTCTTCCCTACTTCCTACTGGGGTCCCCATATACTCAATGAAACCAATCACCATACACAGTTCTACGTTTTGAGACCTGTCCTTAGTCAAAGGAGAAATGACAAAATCTCCGAACAAGAGGCAACCTCGGAAAAGTTCTTCCCAAGTTTGCTCATCCTAGAGCAGAAAAAAACGATGGCAGCTTACGTGTCATGAGCCCTTCCTGTGAACTTGTGGTGTGCCGATCCTCTCACCTGGGCTATCTCATTTAACACTTTAACCATCACTACAGCCCTTAGAGACTGTAACTGTTATTATTTCTACTTTTGATGACAAACTGAAGTTTAGAAAGAATACATTGATCAAGTTAGTAATTAGTTACTAGCTAGTAATAGGTAAGGCTTGAATACAAGAAGACATTTGTCTGTCTGCCTCCACAATAAACACTCTGAGCTCTTATGCCAAGTTGAAGAAAATGAGATTGAAAAATTAAGTACCGATGTAAGTCATATCACCAGACAATGCTATCATAGCTTTTTATTACAAAGGATACAGTTTATTGACTGTTAACTGCATTCCCAACAATGTAATTGACACTCTAAACACATCATCTATTATAATATTCATAATTATTATATCGGAAATATATATCTAATTATAATTATATAAATCTAATACAATAATTTTTATAATAGTGTGTCTCCTCTCACCACTTTTATTCAATATCATACTGGAAGTCCTAGCTAATGCAATAAGAGAAAAGAAAGAAATAAAAGGTAAATATTAAGAAGGAATTAAACTGTCTTTTTTCATAGATGACACAATTGTTTATATAGAAAACACCGAAGAATCAAGGGAAATAAATTTCTGGAACTAGTAAGCTAGTATAGCAAGATTGTGGGATACGGAGTAAACATACAGAAGTATCATATTTTCCTACATGACAATAGATAATTGAAACTTCCTAAATGGCAGTGAACAATTGGAACTTGCAATTAATAACACAACGCCAAAAAAAAAAACATAAAAAGAGAGAAAAGAAAAACAAAAACAAAAATTTAAAGAAAAAATTAAAAAGGAAAATTAATACTTAGTTATAAATTGAACAAAGTATGAACAAGATCAATATAAGGAAAACTACAAAACTGAGGAAAGAAATTAAAGAAAGTTAAGAAATGGAGAGATACTCTATTTTAGGGATATCTCTCCCTATGATAGGGAGACTCAGTGTTAAAATGTCAGTTCTTACCTACTTGATCTATAGATTCATTGCAATCTAAATCAAAATTCCAGAAGGTTATTCTCTGGATATGAATATACTGATTATAAAGTCCACATAGGCAAAAGATACAGAATAGCCAACATAATACTGAAAAACAATAAAGTCAAAAAAAGAAACTCTCCTACTTTAGCAACAGTAATCATGAAAGTGTTTTTTTTAAAAGGATAGATAAATAAATCAATAAACAGAATGGGAGCCAAAAATAGACACATACAAAAAAAAGTACCCAACTGATTTTTGACAAAGAAGAAAAGACAATTGAATGAACAAAGAAGAGTGTTTTTATGCTGGAAAAATTAGATATCCACATGAGAAAAAAAAAAGGATCTACACACTGACCTTATAGGTTTCATAAAGATTAGCCCCAAATGAATCATAAAATTAAATGTAAAATGCAAAACTACAACACTTCTAGAAAGATAGCAAAGAAAAAACACTTAGGTTAGCCTGGCTTAGCAATAATTTTTTAGATACGACACCAAAAGCACAATTTGTGAAAGAATAAAACATTAATATAGTGGACTTTATTAAAATTAAAACCTTTAACTCTGTGAAAGACAGTCTTAAGAGAATGAAATTATAAGGCACAGATGGGGAGAAATATTTGCAAAACTCCTATCTAAAGGACTTGTATGCAAAATGTACAAAGGACTCAACATTCAGCAGTAGAAAAACAAACAAACCTATGAAAAAGTGGGCAAAAGATCTTAATATAATCCTCACCAAAAAGGTGTATAAATAAAAAAAGCATATAAAAAGTTGTTCAACATTATATGTTCTTAGGAAATTGCAAATTAAACAAGATATCACTACACAACTATTAGAATGGCTAAAAGCCAAAATACTGAACACGAATTCTGACAAGGATTGGAAACAACAAAAACCTCTTATTCATTGCTGGTGGGATTACAATAAGGTGCAACCATATTTGAAGAGGTTTGGCAGTTTCTTACAAATTTAAGTATACTCATACCATACAACCAAGCACAGCACTCAAGTATTTACCTGAATGCATTAAAGATGTAGGTCCACAGAAAACCTCTCATATGAATATTTATAGTGGCTTTATTCATCATTGCCTAAAACTGGAAGCAGCCAAGATGTCTGCCCTTTATAAGATGAATGAATATGCAAATTGTGGTACATCCATACAATAGAATATTACTCAGTAATAAAAAATGAGCTAAGTCATGAAAAGAAATGGAGAAACTTTAAATACATATTGCTAAGTAAAAATAGCTGTCTGAAACAGTTAAACACTGTATGAGCCCAACTATAAGGCACTCTAGAAAAGCAAAACTCTACAGATAGCTATAGGTTGTTCTGTGGTTGTCAGAGACTCTGGGGAGAGGGGAAGGATGAATAGATGGAGCACAAGGCTTCTCAGGGCAAGAAAATTATTCTGTATGATATTAAAGGGACAATACATGCATTTGGCAAAACCTGAAGAATTTTACAACACAGGAGTGAATCCTCATGTAAGCTATGAACTCCAGTTTAAAAATGATATATAAATGTAAGGTTGCCAATTGTAAAAATGTTCTACACTAATGCAAGATGTTAATGATAGGGGAAGCCATGGGGTTAAGGGTGTACATGGGAACCTTTTGTACCTTCTGCTAAATTTTTCTGTAAAATGAAAACTGCTAAAATATAATCTATTATTTTAAAAAAATAAAATGAAGAACTAAAGCTATGACATGATTATCTAACTTCTTGAAGGTCATGTAGCAAGTTGTGGGAAGACTGCCACTCTGTGTTCCTATCTGCTTCATTAACTACTGGCATACAACAGTGCCCAAGACTGATTTCAGTATACTAAGTTCAAAGAGCTTCATAGAGTTTTATCACACTGCTTGTCCTCAATCGTTCTTGGTGCCCATTTCTCTTTTGACTTTAGGGAAGAGCATCACATTGTACTCCAAGGATTCATCCTCACATTTCTAAAGAATGAATCCCTTTTTGATAACAAGCAGGGCATATCAATTCTTTCAACTTTGGAGTCTTTCTTTGTCTTCACCAATATTCCTAGTGAACCTGAGCCATTTCTCAAGTCATATACACTTGTTAGAGGACTCAGCCTCTTGACATCATCTACTTGCCTTCTTCAATCTTTATTCATTGCTAGATCTAATAGGCTTGTTTTTAGGTTTGCCTCAACAGTCTGAATTATCAAAGTATCCTGAACATGTATAATGATATATAAATTAACATCCTTTCAATTCAATCAGTATTTGAGTAAATACTGAAATACTTTGAATGACTCCTAATATTTGAATAAATACTCAAAATCTGAGAGTACATATTCCCCCTTTCCATACATACACACATACACACACAAAGACAGAAAGATAGATAATAGAGACAGAGAGAGAATGAGAAAGAAAGAGACAGAATGTTGCTATGTTGTTACTATTGCATAAAATGTTTCTGTTTTTAACTGCCTGCATATTCTGACATTACATAGTTATATGTAGTAAAAATATAATTTAGGATGCAAATAGTAGAGCAATAGAGAATCCCTTACCCCCATTAATGGCTCCAAAGCAGATGCAATGTAGGGTGGCTAGTGCAGGGGTGACACAGCATGGATTCCCACAGGGAAAGCTAAAAGAACACTGGGGGGTGTGTGCTGAGCCACGGTGCTGGAGAGATGCGTGGGACATACAGTTGGGTAAAGAAAGATTACAGGAGTATTAAGGACCCGTGACGTCATTTTAGATAAACTTCACTAAAGGCTGGAAGAGCTTCTGGACTCTTTCCCCAGAGTAAATATGCCACTCTTTGAAAAGCAATGTTGCCCTGGAGAAAGAGAACTTTGACCCCTAATATAACAAAACAAAGAAACAGGTTTTAAGAATATTACACTACATATATATAGATATATGCAGTTTACATGTATATGTGGTATATATTTATATATATAAGCTTTGAGTAAATATACATAAACTTTGTGTTTATATCTATATATAAGCTTTGAGTGAATTCAACAAACATTTGAAGTTTTAATTAAAAAAGGAGTTGTTTATAAAAAGTAAATTTCAGATAATTTGCTCTAGGGTAACTGAATATTGTAAATTACCCTTTGTGTCAAGTCCATAAACTAAGACATTGGAAAATATTGAGACAGAATTTATTGTAGCAAAGAGTGTTTGAATTTAGAAATGAGAAAATAATAAGGTGGCCAAGGGTTGGATTTTCTCTTGTGTTTTTGTTCATGTTTACACTTAATCTTTACTGAAATTTTCAGAGAATAAAACTATTTATGAATGTTGATATTCAAATCCATAACCATAATATATAATTTTTGAAGGAAGACATTTAAAAGCATTAATTTTTCTATTACTGTTCAATGTTTCTCTCACACAAACTCTGAGGTGCAATGAATATGTGAGCATTTAGTAACTGAATAAAATCTATTCATGTTATAAGTATGTAAAGCTTACAATGAATTTCCCAATATATAAGGATGAATTTACAAAACAAATCTCAGTATTGTAAAATATTAGTTTCTGCAGTCATGTGGATGGATGTAGATTGAAAAAATAACAGTTCCCTCCCTCACCCCAGTTTATAAGGGTTTGTATGCACATATGCAACCCAATAGTTTGGAAATAAGGAAATTATGGTATCCTGCCAATTGAACAACAGGGCACACAAATAATTGAGTCATAAATATTTATGCTTATGAAAAGAGAGTAATTTAGAGGCCAGAGCAAGACTAGTACATAATCTAACTGAAAAAATATAGAAATATAATAGGCCAGTTAGAAGCAAAGATATTGTCAACTTAGAAAACAAAATAATTGTTATAGAAGCAATCCACAAAAGCACCCCCTTAGGAAGGTGTTGCTCTTGAAAATCAGACACTAGTATCTCCTCTTCTTCAATATCCATATTAAGGACATAATTATAACAGATTTTTATAATGTGATATTACAAACCTTTAAATCATATGAACATAAACTTCCTTGCTTAGAATTCATACTCACCAAGCAAACATATGATTACTTGTCTCTCTGTGTATTGAGACTGCATTGGCCAGGTTACTACAAAGTTGGTAACCAGTTAAACTTTCCAATTTGTAATTTTTAAAAATTAATAAATTGACATGCAGGTTTACATAATTGTATTTAATGGAAGTCTCAAGAGCATAAATAATGAATTCACTAAAATTCAGGGAATACCCTTATGATACTTTCATGAGACATGTGGCCAGATGATGGTACTCCTGGTAACTCGTCTAAATCGCCCTCTCTCTAATTTCTCCAATTGCCATTGGGTGTTTTTATATTTGATGGATTAGTTGAAATTAGTAGGCCATTGCAGACAATTAAATGAAGAACTCTTACAAGGAAATTGAACTCAAATGTAACTTCATGAGTACAATGCATTAATCAACTGAACTAACCATGGAATATATTTCATCAAGTTCTAATAAAATCACTACAATATCAGATGCAACATGAAAAACCCAGCCTATCAACCCATCAAGCTCACTAATATAATATCCCACATAGAGATTTGATCAATAACGCCTACAGAGATTGGGCTAGAGAATATTAAATCTAATGTTATTCTCTAGATTACATGTCTAGATGACACACTTGGAAAATGTGTTTTATTTAATATTAGTAATTCCCTCAAATATTTGCTCTTTCAAGAACTAATATTACTTTCATGGGTTTTATCAAACTATTCATGGAGAAAAATATATTAAGATTAAAGATATGCTGGAATTAATTGCATTTTCATAAATCTGATCTATAAATCTCATACGAATCTGGAAATTAGACCCAGTTTTTGCCATATAATTTATAGATATATACGTTATCTCAAATGAAAGTCATAGTGTCTTATTAATTCCAGGATTTTAAATAAACAGTTCAAAGTAGTAAATATTTATTTTTCTATATTAATTTATTAGTATCTAATATACCTCTGAAAATATTATGATTTTGTAGTTTCTGGAACTCATTTGTACACTGTATACATTGAAATGTAAAACTACAGTTGTGTCTGTTGGACAGCATCATATATTAGAAAAATAATGACTAGCAGAGTTGATTATTTATTTACTTGTTGTTCGGCAATCATGGTCACAACCTGATGATCTTTTCTTTATTGGCAAGGGCCTCATCCTTTCTATCTGAGACAACTTGCACATAAATTCTGAGTTTCCAGCTCACTTGTTATGAACACTTGGTCCAAATCCTAAGTGTGTGCCATAAACCACACTGGGTAATGATATCATGGTGGCACTCTTCCTGTGCTTTTTATAAATCAACATTTATTAAGAATTACATTGTTTTGTCATACACTGTTATAGAGGTTGGAGATGTAAGAGTGACTGAGAGAGACATGTCCCCTTCCTTAGAAAGCTGTGAGAATGCTGGCACAAAAAGCCATGCCTTACAAAAACAGGAGGAAATCTAGAGAGCTGGCCAAGAAAGTTACACAAACCAAGAAGAAGATCCAAGCAAAATTATTGGTTATATTCTGCCTAGAAATAAGCAAGCAAAAAACATATTGAAAAGCCTCTGTTGATTCTTATTTGGAGACTAAAACAATAAACCTTCATGGGATCAAAAATATCACCTCCAACTTAAACTGTAGACAAGGCAGAGAATAGAAGATAAGTTTTCATAAAAACCAAATCGATGAAATAAAAGGTATTAGGTCTATAAAAATTAAAAGGAAAATTATAAAGAAAACATAAAATAGAAGATGATTAAATCGTTTCTTGTGCACAATGCGTACTATCTCAGTAAAGAGCAGACAGATCATGAGGAGGAGAAAGAAATAAGAGAGATAAGTGTCCTCCCAAGGCCTCATGCTCCAGACCTAAAATTAACTTGCTTACTAACCACTAAATTAATAAAGCCCAAACTTTCTGAATTTTAAGTTTACTTAAACAAGTAAATCCCATATGCACTCAGACATAAATCAAGAAATACATTTTTAAAAGGCAGAAGAGTTCTATATTTCAACAGAAAATAACTGAATCATAATGAAATAACACATGCAGAGGTTTGTGTAGTGTAGATTATTACCAAAATGTTTCTAAGCCAAGCCAAGTTGCTATGAGTAAGAAAAATAAGACAAAAACTACATATCAATGTTCCTAGAAAAAATTCTTCTCACCTACTCACATATATATCTAAACTTGCACTGAAGCCAATTGATAGGTGAGTCAGATATGAACTCTCAAATTAGGAAGATGTGGTAAGATAGAAATATCAGTCATGAGATATACATTAGATAACAGAAGGTACCTAAATCTAAGCAAAGACATAAAATACTTTATAACAATGCATAAGTCAAAATAACCTAATATTAATATATAAAATAATAATAAATATCTCAACAGCAACACTAAAATATAGATTTAAAAACTAGATTACTTTAAAACGTTAGTTTTATGCAAGAAACAAAAGAGAAAGTAAATGCAATTTAAGACTTTATACACGTGATCTTTAAAGATACTCTTTTCTTCTTTAAACTAGTAACTAGGGAGAAATAATTGAACATATGATTATGAAGAAGTAGTAGAATAAAGCATGAACATAAAATATTCAAATCGTTGGAAGAAAGAAAAGAGGAAGAAAGATAGGCATGCAATTTATTGTGAAGCTGTTGTCCAGGAGATGTCTAAAGAGCCCATGGGTTCAATGCAGTGGACGTTCCAATGAGGGGGATGCCTGAACCAGGTGTTCCTCCAGCTGTCATCTTGGGCTTAGACCAGCATCCTATAAGCAAGTAATGTGTGTAGATTAATCTGCTATTTCAGAAGTTATTGTATAAGCCTGGACCATGCAAAGGCACACCACGAAGTGCTGATAGTAGAGAAAGACCTCAGACCTGGGCAACATGTGCACGGTGGAAGCTGATGCATTCTGAGTGATCCCCACGTATTCCCCAGCTGTCCTCTGAACACATCCCTATATCTGCAATTGCACTAACCCTAAAGTTAGCAAATGCCTGATTTTTCAGTTGTTAGATATGAATATGAGTCTGATTTTAGGGTATAACCAATTGGTAGAATCAACCCAACTATCAAAGATGATATAACAAGAAGAAAGGATGAAATGCAAGAAAATTTAAAAGAACTAAAACAACACCAGAATATATAAGCTTGGCTGTTATTCAGAAAGCAGAACCTCTCCTTTGATAAGGCACAGAGTCTCAGTTGTTATTTCCAAGTAATGTAAGAGCATATAAATGCTTTTAACACAAAATTAAGGTAAGAAATAAATATAATTGAGTGAAAAAGTAATATTATAAAAATTTGTGTACAATCTGCTCCAAGATTATAAAAATTACACAGGTATTCTCCAATGAAGAAGATATATATGTATATACACAGATATATATGAATATATATATGATAACATATGATATATATGATTACATATACATATCTATATAAACACAAATAATATATTTATTTGTGTATAATATATGTATAATTACACATTGGAATACATGTGTATAATTATACATCAGAATATATATTTTAATACTGGGTGACAAGATTACCTTAATTCTTATTTTCTTTTTTTCTTTGTATTTCCCAATGTGAATATTTTTATTATTTGCTTAAAGAAAAAATATACTTGTTACAAACAGTGAATCTAACATGGCAATGAAAGCTGGCAGGCTTCTATTCTCTCAGTGAGAGTCACTGAGTTGTCATTCAAACTAGCATCTTTTTATGACCTTTGCCAATGAGCTTAAGTCCCATTCAACCTTCATATTCTCAACACAGTCAACCTCCTTTTTCCACTCCATGAGTCCTTGGTTGTCTTTGGCCGATGAAAGCTGGTCACTGTACATGTGGATCTCCAGGTGTCACACCTTGAGAGTAACTTTTTTTTGTATATGTCACAAGAAGTGTATGCAAGATGGCATTTTTTCACTGTAACTTCATGAGATCCCATCCATTAGAAGCAACTGTTGGAAGCCACATCAGTGGGAGCGGAGTGATGCCCAAGGTTTGGCCCCCTTCCCACAGAGGTTCACTCCATTGTAGCTTCGCGCATACGTCTCACAGTTCAAGGTAAGTGCAACAGCCCAGTGCAAATGAATGTTTTTCTCACTGCTCTGGTTTTCAAAAGATATTGTGGCTGGAGTCTGTTCCTCCTTTTATCCAGCTCCCACTTGGATGCTGAAAGATTGAAGACAAAGGAATGTACTCAGATGACACAAAAGTCATCCAAAGCTGTTAGACTATGACTTCACAGTTGTGTCCACTGACATCTTCAATGCTGACTTCAATTAGGAGATGGTGTTAAAGCTCTTAAGCATTTCCCAGATTTTACCTGGCACAGGCCACACTTTTTGTGTAAAAGTCGTCTCCATGATAGACTGCCACCCATTTCCCAAGGCTCTTGATGTCCACACATGTATGTAGTATTTCTTCCCTGCTTCTCTTCTGCAGGAGGCATAGCCACACCTTTTATCTTCACTGCCCAGCAGCAAGAGGCAAGATAGAGATAAAGGGCAGCTTCACACACAACACAGAAGCGGTGGGGGTGAGCTCCCATCAGATCTGGGTTTAAAGATGTGGCCTTAAATTCGCCCTGTCATTTCAGTGAAGTTGCTCAAATATTTGGGGCTTGATTTCCTCATCAATGAAATGTAAATAGTTCTTATAGCAGATGTTGTGAATATTCCATTCATATTCCCTGGACAGCCCAAGAGTCATCACAGACATGTGTCTGGCTCCCTGCGTTTCTCAGTCAAAGGACTCTCTGGATGCAGCGCTGTTCAGTCCTTAGGGCAGGCTGAGAGTGCCCAAGAGTTAATGCATCAAGAGCCAATCTCAGAAAACGAGAGAGGTTTGCTGGTGGCTGGATGCCTCAGCTTACTTGGTGGAGACAGCTCTCAGCAGGCACCCCATAAAATCCAGCCCCAGGTGTCATGGTGCCAACTCCCTCTATGCAGCAGGATTTACTGGCTTTCCATCCTTTCATGTCTTCCTTCTCCATTTCCTTAGTGTACCCCTTGGGGTCCCCTCCCATATCACCTACTGTGCTTAAATCCCTATCTCAGGACCTGCACTGGGTAGTGGTGAAATCTAAACTCATGTAGCACTAGAGGATAAAAACACAGTTTATGATGATGACATAAACAGAGCATCTACAAAGTGTGTAATACAGAGCTTGATGCAGAAGAGAACTTTAATGACTATAACATCCCTTCATCCCTATGTGACTGAAACACCAGGGTTTGGTCTATATTCTATGCTCAACGCACAGAAAACCAATGACCGAGATGACGAGAATTGCCAAGAAAGAGGCTTTAATCAGGTGCTGCAACCAAGGAGATGGGAGCTCAGTTTCAAATCCATCTCCCTGAACGGCTAAAACTAGAGGTTTATATGGCAGGGAAGAAATGTAATAATGCATAGCAAAGCAGGAACTAGGAAGGGGCAAAGAAGCAGGCATCATGAAGGAGGGGCCCCAGATCTCACTGTCTGGATGTGGTGATCGGTGAGTTTTAGTTCTCTGTTACTTTTTTTTGAGAGTCCTGAAGGCAGTTTCCTGAGGAAGGAATTCAGATAACACAAATGTAAGTTTCAAGCTTTAACACCAGAAGGTCCTTTTTCTTTATCAAAAAAATAAAATTTTAAAAAAACTGTCTATGGGACTATTGCATCTGTTTCACCTACCCACAGTGTCATGTGGTAGACACTCCGTTTTCCCTGCCAGAGTCTAAAACCACATGAAAAGACAAACGGGTCAATAGGTGGAAATAAAAGGTGAGATCTATTCCTGTTAGAGAAGCAGTAAACATGGTTTAGGTCTGTAGACAGAATTTGTTTTCAAAACCAGAAACCTCAAATTAGAATCACTTGCACACCTTATCATAGGCAGCACTGAAAAATGGAAGGTAGTGAACACAAGTGCAGACAAATGCAGGAGAAAGAGAGGGGTCAAAGGTATGTCTTCCCAGGTCTTCTTCCTCAAAACATTGTGAGTAAGGGGAGCCAGGTTCCTCACTAGAGACGCAGGTTGTTAATAACAAGAAGGAAGGTTGGAGTAAACCCTGTGGTTCTAGACTAGAGTACAAGGAATCAGGATAAATCCATGTTTATTTTAATGGAGAGTCAATGCATAGATAAATAAATAGATAATAGCTAGGTGAATAGATATTAGCTAGGTAGATATAGATAATTAAGCCATGTCTACATGGTTTAGTATTTATAGGCACACAAATATTTGTAGCTATGTCCACTGAGAGGGCCTAGGAACAGCGGCACCCCAGTAATAACAAACAAAGCCAATGTTCATATTTATTTTAAAATACCATTATCCATCAGAAGAAACCATGACTTTGCAGATAAATGATTGACTCTGGGCCAGGGCAGGAAAAACACAAGATGAGGTAAACCATCTAATAGTGCCAGAAAATAATAAAGCACTTAAAAAATAAATAGAAGATGGGGACATGCCAAAAAGGCACAGGAGCTAATGTGAAAAAGCTTCCAATGGCCATAGCAGAAAAAATTTGAGCAACAGAAGAAATAATGTTAATAGTGTGCTAGATACCAAAGAATAAATTAAGCACCTGTGAGTCCATATTCACATAAATAAATAAATAAATAAATAAATAAATAAATAAATAAGGATGAGGGACAGTTACTCTTATGGAAGAATTCCAAATAATAAATATAAATGAATAAGGGGGAGAGAAAATTACCATTATAATACCATAGCAATAATTGCTGCAGGCCAGATCCATGGAGAATGTCAAAATTAGTGGGTAGAATTTTAAAAAGAAACAGAGTATATACATGCCCCCAAATATCCCCCTAAGAAATATATATAATTTACTGGAGTGGTTTAAACATATGGCCTTGGATTCCTTGATGGCTGGACTTACTGACTGTCCTCTAGCACAGTGGAATGGGAAGACATAGTAACTATGCAGTGGAGAAAGAATCTGGCAGAAACTACCCTGAGTAACAAAGGCTACCATTCATGTACCCCCAATATGACGGGATGAGAAAGACGCTTCTCCTCTGCATCATTCTTCCCAGAAATCTAGAGCCCCAGTCTAATCATGATAAACCATCAGGGAAATTCAAATTGAGGGACTTTCTACAAAGTACCTGAGCAGAACTTTTCAAAAGTGTCAGAACCGTGGGAAGCAAGGACAACGCTGGAGACTCCTGTGGATGACAAAGGCTAAGAAGATGTGTGGGCTGAACGCACTGTGGGCTCCTGCATGGGTCCTGCAGCAGAACAGGGACATCAGTGGAAAAACTGGCAAAATCCAAATAAAGTCCACAGTTTAGTTAAATTTAACATAAGAACATTCATTATAAAAGAGGAACACTTTAACATTCTTGCTTCCAGAACTGTGTGTAGAACCAGTTTGCCACATTACTTCTTCTGTTACCAAACCTCAAGTTCAAATTTGGAAATAAAAATAAATCCTACTAAAAAAGTTACATTAAAAATATATATCAGTTTAATACCACATTTCTTAAGGAGCTTCATATGCTAGATTCTAGAGTTAAAAACTATCACAGAATTGACTTCACCAGTGAAATTTAGGAAATAAGTCAATGCCCATTTCCTAAAGCAGGAATCCCAGGAGAGGTTCTGTTCCCTGATCACAGTCATTAGAGTTTTCGCAGACCATTGCCCAATCTCAGTAGCATCTAAAGAAATCCCAGGTGACCCCTCTTCACTCCTTCCTTAACCCTGTGTGTAGCCAGTCTGGGTGTGCTTACCACTAACGCTGCCTCAATCTTGCCTGGGATATGAACCCAGACTGCACTTGAGTGATTCAAGGCGAAGCTACAGCAGTCTGTGCCCTAAGGCCACTACCATTTGGTGAAGGGACCCTCAGTTCCACATGCTGCCAATACAAAAATAGCTACCCATATTTGAACAAAGCTTCCCTAGACTGCAGTGACCTGCCAAGGTCAAAATCACATGCGCTCAGAAGTGTCAAAGTCCTGCTGAGCTGCAATAAAAATCCAACAGTGAAATGCTAAAAACTACTCAGGGATCCAACATAGGCTACTGAACACCATCACAACCAAAAGCCCTGCGCCTTGCCCCACCAAAATCCTCAATCAGCAATTGTTATTTTCCTTAAAAGAGTCTGTCCTGTCTTTGCATCTATCTTAGTTCAATCAGGAGATAGAAACCACACCGTGGGTAAAACAGCAGTTTAATATAAAGAAGCATGAAACGATGATTTAAAAAGTAATTACGAGATATGTTAGTAGAAAAGCAGATTGTTGGCACAACACATTATATGGCACCCTAGGGTGGAGGGAGAGTACAGAAGTTGGATAAACTTGGAAGAGAGGCCTCATCTCAAGGCTGGGGTCACACCTTATTGTAGGTTTAGTTCAGCCCACTGGACAGCTAGAAAAGTTTACAGATTTTCCCGGACTGGCACTGGTCTGAAATTCACTGAGCAACCTAGAAGCAGCCCTGCTGAATGCAGGTGTCTCATACACAGAGGATCATCAACCGATGGTGTGGGCATGCAGACAGTGCAGAGGCCCATGTCACAGGGAGCCACAGGGGAGGCTTCCAAGGAAGCTGTGGTTGCTGTGAGCAGCAGGCCTTCAGGGCATCGACTTCCACACAGAGAAGGCTGCAGAGCTGTTATCAGTAGGCTCGCATTGCCAGGGGCCATGCATTCTGGGAGTATAGTCAGGTGCAGCTCCGTGGGCTGTTCTCACCCCTATTTCCCCAAACCCTCCTACAACACGGCACCCCTTTCCTCTTGCAATTACTGAGAAACCTTAACATCTTGTCCACTGTAATGTGGAGATGTTTAAAATAATTCTGTCTATTACAATGAGGTATATATTGAAATTTGGCTCTGGGAGGATATAAATTGATAACTGCACATTCTCCTATAACCCTCCATTCCAATGATCAGATTTTTATATAACACAGAATGGACAATGGATTCAAATTGACCACCTTTGAAAACAAAACTGCATTTCCAGTGCCAAAAAGCAGAAGGTACTGAAGGAGAAAACCAACTTTCTCCTCCAAACTCATGCTTCCCTGGAGCAGAGTACATTGTGGGCTAGAGAAAGTACAGGACTGACACTCTAGTGAATGTCCCTTCACACAGAAACAGAGAGCCAGGGGAATGAAACCTCATTCCAAAACAGTGGAGGGGATTGAGAAGCATCCAGGCCTTTCCTCTAGGGGAGGGATTTGCAATGGCTCCCTTATAGATGAGCATTCCTAAACACTTATGGCGATTTCTAGAGCTAGAGGCTACCAGTGGCCTCAAAGGGAAATGAAAGCCTTAGTTGATATTACCCCAGCTCTTCTCAAAAATAATTGATGGCCATCCCATCACATAAAATAGCTCCTCTTATAGGAGAAAGCCTTCTGCCTTTACTTCTGATCCCATCTTGTCTACATTCTTTGAGATTGTTCCATCAATAATTTCTAAATCTTTATGGTCTATATTGACATCTTCAGGTTGCAAAACATTACTCTTGCCCAATCTTGGATTATCACAGATGATTAGGATTTATCAGGAGTGAAAGTATTATAGCCTGATTCATGGATTTGTCATGCAAATATGACTGTATTTCTTTTACTTATTGACTTAATTGCTTTAGCCTCCATAGATGATGTAGTAGCAGGAAGCCCAATCCTTTCATCTTGACTTACACTATATGAAGATCTCAAGAATGTACTTAATTTCAAAACACATAATGGTCAGCAAAACTCCAGAGGTAGAACTGGGTTTTGGTAATTCCAAGCTATTATGATTCATAGACATTTTTAAAGATCAATCCTTTGTGGTTCAATGGGTAGGGTATCTTTATCACTGGGATACCCTTGCTGTGCCTGCCCAAGCAACACTGGTGCCCAACATGGGGCCTCACACCCTATGCCCTTTCCCACCTCTCCACATGAACGTCCTCTTTGGTTGATATTCCTGTGTTCATACACTCTTCCCCCTCCAATCTGCCATCATCCACGTAACTGGGGGAGCTTCAGAATTAGTTATATGCTGTATGCACCTGGATCCACCTGCTGAAGGCAGGTCTCCTCCCCATGCTACCCTTGCCTTATTGATGAGCTCCAATTTGACGTTCTAAATTCACAAGGTTCTGGAGTCCTGGTGCCTGGCTGTCCACATGCTGCTCTTTAAGGGGAGTATCACCTTTGCTAATGCTAGCACACAAAATGTCTTACCACTCTCCACACTGAGAAAATGGAAATGTTGCATTGTTTTATTTGATTTGATTAACAAAGGACAGTTACTCAAGCAATTCTTTTATTTTAAAAAAAGAGTATCTTCTGGCCAGGCAAGGTGGCTCACACTTGTAATCCCAGCACTTTGGGAGGCCGAGGCGGGTGGATCACGAGGTCAGGAGATCAAGACCATCCCGACTAACATGGGGAAACCCCATCTCTACTAAACAAATTAGCCGGGCGTGGTGGTGGGCACCTGTAGTCCCAGCTCCTCGGGAGGCTGAGGCAGGTGAAGGGTGTGAACCCAGGAGGCAGAGCTTGCAGTGAGCCCAGATTGCACCACTGCACTCCAGCCTGGGCGACAGAGGGAGACTCTGTCTCAAAAAAAAAAAAAAAAGTATCTTCTACAAATTGTTTTGTTGCCTGAACTAGAAAATTATTTGTATCAAAATAATAAATATAATTCAACACAACAAATTAACAACAGCAAGAGATCACCTACGTTGAGAGAGAACTACAATAGTGTTCAGAATACAGGATCCCTGCGGTAGCCCAGCAGAAGAGGAACTTTGCCCTTGTCAGCACTTTCCTTCTGGACAGTCTCATTGCTCTCTCAGCTCAGCTCCCTTGACTCTGACTGCCTTTCTCTCATTATCGTAAATACTTCGTTGACTCCCTGCTTCCCTTATTGAAGGTGGAATTTCTTCTGTTATTGATATAGATTCATGGTTGGATCACTGCATGGCTTTTCCTTTTTTTTTTTTTTTTTTTTTGTGACATCAGTTGGTTTCTAAACTGTATAATCCCTCCTGTCTGAGTCTCTAATATTTCATTTAATACTTATAAAAGCCCTATCAAGTCGGCTTTATCTCCTTTTTACAGATGTGGGAGCTGAGACCTAGCAGAGTAAAACATTAATTCTTTCCATTAGTATGCTCATTGGTTGATAAAGATAGTAACTTTTTGTCTTTCATGTCTGCTTTAAATATTTTCCCTAGTTTGGTTTACCCTTTAATTATTTTTACCAACAGAAATTTTATGTCTTTATGTTGTTGAATTTGTCAGTCCTTTCTTTTATGATTGTTTTCCTGTTACCTTTAAATTGAGAAAGTCCTTCTCTCTTTAGAGGTTGGATACATATTATTCTCATTTTATTTATGTTTCCTTTTTATTTTATTTTAAGCATATGCACAGAATTACTTTGGTAGTTGGTATGAGGTAAAAATCCAAATGAATTTATTTTCACAAACAGCCAATTTCCCAAATAAAATTTATTTTAAAATATTTCTTTACATCATTATGTTTCTTTTACTTATATTTATTCTCCAATGTATAACTGAGTTTATTTCTCAGTTTCCTGTTCTATTTCTCTATTCTAATTATCTAGATTTATGCCAATACCTCATGGCTTTCACTATAACAAGAAATGCTAATACTTCCTTAATATTTGTTTTCATTAGATCTGGACACTTTTCATCTTTAGGTTTTAAAGTAGTGTGTCAGTTTTGTGGATTGAAACTAAGTTACATGAATATATCTTTTGTGATAAATTATGTTGTATAAATAAATACTTTTCAAAGAAAGAAAAAGACACTTCATTTAAATTTACTGATCTAGAGATTATGCACCTTACCTGAGCAGAGCTCTCACATCAGCCTCATGTCCTGGTCCCGGCACTGGCTGGTTTGCACATGCTCACACTGGCTCAGTGTCACCCCACGGTTGGGTCGTTTCTGGCCATAGCTATAGTGTGCTGCTGCGGCCTTCTTATTCGGAAGCAGCCCTGAGCATATGGATACCAGGATGCCCCACCGCCGCATTCTTCCTTCCTAGTTCATAAAGTCACCTGTGAGGTGGGTTTGCTATGCCATTTAAGAACATCCACTTCGGCTGGGCGCGGTGGCTCACGCCTGTAATCCCAGCACTTCGGGAGGCCAAGGCGGGTGGATCACGAGGTCAGGAGATCGAGACCATCCTGGCTAACACGGTGAAACCCCGTCTCTACTAAAAATACAAAAAATTAGCCAGGCGAGGTGGCGGGCGCCTGTAGTCCCAGCTATTCGGGAGGCTGAGGCAGGAGAATGGCGTGAACCCGGGAGGCGGAGTTTGCAGTGAGCGGAGATTGCGCCACTGCACTCCAGCCTGGGCGACAGAGCGAGACTCCGTCTCAGAAGAAAAAAAAAGAACATCCACTTCAGCTACAAGGAACAATTAAATCAATTGGGGTGGGTAAAACCCATTCATCTGCTATTCTTAGCAAGTAAGTGAGCATCTAGCTTGCGAGACGCACTAGACGTAGACAAGTTAAGTAATGCCCAGTGTGCTGAAAATAGATGGAAAGGACAATGGCAGGACGAGCTAAGTAACAAATATTCCTGGCACAAACTACTTTTGAAAGTCCTTGCCCCCATAAACTGGCCACCCATTGGTGATACTCTCATTGGTCCTCAGTGTTCCTTGCTCAAGACGAGCATGTAAAAGTGATTGGTGCTCTGCAGGTTTGGAGGAGGTACCGCTGTAGCCAGATGTTCTTGTTATACTTTCTAATAGAATAAGGGTATACTGGATCTGTATGCTGAGCCTCTCTACTCTAGTTCTGGAAGCACCACAACTGTGCACGGAGAGGGCAACATAGAGAGAAACACGGGGCAGTATGCCACCAAGGAATAGACATATACACACACGCATGCAATTCTATCCGTTTACATAAGGACTCCCTAACATTGATAGCTACTTGCCTTTATAAACTAAGTAATAATATATCCAGGAGTTAGGCAGTTGTTCGGCTATCCCTAAAAGGGACAGAAAAGCAGACAGCACGACTTTGCATCCTGCTGGCTCCTCTCCTCATGGTGTTAACCTTCCTCCTCTCTGTTCCTCTGCCTCTTGCTGTGTGCTGCAATGAGACTCAGTAAGCTGCATGCTTAGAGGTGGCCTCTGAACCTTGCTTCTACCTGTCTTCTGAAAAGGCTTGCCTGGTGGTCCGCCTGGAGGTCATTACCGTGCCCTTCTACTGCCCATCTTCAGACTGCTCAGCTCACTCAGAATTTTTCCTCTTCACTCTGCCTTCCTTATCACCTAAAATCTATTTCCTCTTTTTACACTAAAATCTACATATTTCTTTCCGATTGACAGCCCTGCCCTCTTCCATTTGTGATATTTAGCACTGCTCTTTAGGCCCTACAGACCTCAGACTTGATTTGTTATGTAAACTGTATGTCAGTCATTTTACACAAGCATACATGCATGCATACACATACATACACACAGCAGTTAAACATTTTATCAGTATAAGTCAGGAATTAATATAAGTCAGGCAGATTTAAGCTACTGAAAAATAATTCAAACCAGGACTCAACCACCTTTTTACTTCCCCTAATGGCTAATGAGATTTTAGTAATTTAAACTTATTCAAGGATAAATGCTTTAAGATGACTACAATGATGACCTTCTTGCAAGCATAAATGCTTTAAAATTAGTTTCAGTGCTTCAGTAATTGTGAACTCTGTGCACTGACATCTCTTTTGCTCAGTCATCACTGTGAGACTGCAAACCTCCTAGGGGTATATCTACAAAACATAAGCGTTCCTCTCTCAATTTCCAGTGTTTATTTGTTGCAAATAGCCAATTTAAGGAGAACTACGTGGAGCCACTGAGATTCTGTGTGAACACTTACAAAGACAGATCTGCAAATCAGAACCATGCCAATAATTTTAAATTGCCCTAAGCCATAATTCCTAATATTTACTTTGACAAATCTCCCCAAAATATAACTTTATAAGGCACATTCAGAAAGATAAAAAGTGAATTTTAGTTGCTCTACATGAGAAACAGAAAAATTAATACTATATGCACACATAGAATGACAGTGAATCAAGGAATTAAATAGAAGAATATTGAATTAAGAAATAAACTGTGATTATATTATGATCTTATAATTTTAATCTTACCATAAGGACTGCTATAATTATAGATATTAACAATGAAGCTGCTACTGCTTGTGCTATAATTGCTAGAGTGAGTATAAAATTCCTGATCCTGTGACTGAAATATTATATTTCAGGATGTTCAGCGATGACACAAAGTGTCAGTTTCATTAATTCAAGCTGCACCTCTCTGGCAGACACTCTACTCCTGGGAAAGTCAGAAATAGTCTCACATTCAGGGAGCCTCCAGTCTCCAGGCAAGTCCTATAAAAATAAATGTTTGCCATTTTTTTTTATAATACAGTAAATACTTGTTCAATGTAAAAGCAGTCAAAATGTGCACTTCTATATTGACAAAATAGTAAGAATCTCCAAGAACTGATCATCCAAAAAAATACTCTTATGTAATTGGTAAATACAGCATCAGATAAATACAACTTTTATTCATTAGCCAAATGAATAATTTTGTTTCCATTACATATATGTCAGATCCTGTGCTAGGGGGCGATGACAAAATGATGAGTAATAGAAGATATGAGGCTTTCCCCTTAGGATGTTTACAATCGGGAAGAGCTGACAAATGCATATCAAATAATCGCACATTATGTAAAGTGACAACTATGTTACAAGCTATGATGGAACAATCAGTGATCTATGAAAGTACTTAAGTTGGGGGTTTGATGTACTCTAAGAAGTAAGGTATTTATTTATTTGCTTACTTTTTGCAGATGACACTTCACTGGAATCTGAAGGGTGAAGAGGTGGATTCTGGACCTGGTGTTCTGAGAGGAGTGGTGGGGCCAAATACATGAAGAAGAGAAAGGTGAGTTGTTGAAATGTCGATTGAAAGAGGAGTTATATTTTGAGACAAGTCTGAAGTGCTGGAGAGGGGCCAGGCCACACAGAGAATTGCAGACTATCACAAGCAGAAGTTACTGGTGCATTGCAAGTAGGTGGATGACAAGATAAGATAGTTTTACACTTTGAGCATGTGTTGGTAAAACAGGGATGAAAGACCTGGTGACAAGTTTAATTATTATATATGATTTATTTGCAAATCAGTATCATAGCAAAATGCTGTGTGCTGAAAATTGCTCTTGTACTTAATAAAATATTGTAGATACCTTTGTTTGAAACAGCATACTGCTCTATACTCTTCACAGAGTCACAACGTTCACTGTGTGAATGTACCTTGGCTTTCACAGGGTACCATATTTTCATGTCTTTTTCAGTATTTTAAATAATGTTGCTAAAAATATCCTTCAAGTTATATATTTCTCTCTCTCTATATATATATAAATTCTGACATATATGACCTGAAGGTATATATTCAAATATATATATAACTATATATATATAGTTATATATATATACTACATACATATATAGTAAAATATGCTATTTTACTTCTAAGAAGTAAGTTTATAGAAATGCTGGATTAAAGATAGGCCCATTTATAGAAATTCACAGATAATGTCAAACTCACCTACAAAATATTGTGCCAGTGTGGGCTTCCCCACCCTTACGGTTAAACAGCCTTGGATTCACATCACCCTTGTGTGGGAAGATTTCTGGATCCTCCCAGCCAGTGCCGCGTGTTATCTTCTCATGACCATGCTCTGCACTTTGTAATTACAGGGAAATACTTTTTGCTAAAATTTTAAACGCCCACATTTCATTTCCTGACTCCATATGCTTTGTTTAACATATATATTACCCACTCACTTTCATTACTTTAATTATGTCCATTTTACAGATAAGAAAACTTATTCACGAAGCAGTTAAGAAAGAAAACTTATTCACAAAACAGTTAAGAAACTTGCCGAAAATTATACCGCTAGTAACTATGCAGAAGGCTTTAAGTCACTACAGCATGTTTTCTTCAGAAAAGGTGTTTTATAAAATTCAAAATTGATCTGTGATTTTTAAAAAATCTCTTAGTACACTAAAAGTAAATCATAACTCACTAATGTAATAAACATTGTACAATAATTAAAAACATTTTATTGTGGTATTCCACAATTGCCCCATTAAAATGAAGAATGAGAAAATTTTTGATGATGACTACTTTATAATGTTCTTAAGAGATTTTTTTATTTTTTAACCAATGAAATGAGAAAGTTCATTTAAAAAGGATAACTCTCATAGATTAGGAAATAAAATAGTTCTCCGTTAATTTGGTTCACAATAGTGAAGGTACCACTGAATGCCAGCTCTGGGCACTGGAGCTTCAGGGATGAGAAACAGCTGTGTGCTTTGCCCCCTCTTGCTTCTTAGAATCTCTTAGTAAAGATCGGTCATTCAACAGTCACTGACTTTCAAGCGTACTTTTTGCTATGTTAGGGAAAGTTCACGGGTTGGTGTGAGGGTGAGTATAAAGGGACAGACAGCCAGGGCCTGACACCCAGAAAAAGACACGGGGGTGTATGTTCCAGGAGACTCAATGCCAGCAGTGTGCTCGCACAGGTGAAACTGTGCTGGTGGAGATTCTACCATACATAAGAAGGAGATGATGGCAGCAAGACTTGAGGTATAACTGCAGAAATGAAAAGGAAAAAAAAGCAGATCTGAGAAATACTTAATCTGTGACTGCTGAGCTGTGGAAGAGCAAAGAGGGAGGCAAATGGTGGGATTATCCCTTGGAATGGGAAACATTAAATGAAGAGCAAGTTGAGAAGGTGAAAAAAGATGATCAGTTTTCTTTGGGACTGGTTGAATCTGGAGCATGAAGGAGCTATCCAGTAGAAATAAAATGTTCAGGAAGCATTTGGAATATGGGCCTAAACTCAGGAAATTGTTTGTGTGTCAGATACGGATTTAGTATTCGACAGTGTTTATCAATAGAGGACCACAGAGGACCCAGTGATGCACACAATAGCCGTGGGATTTTACGAATTGAGAGCAGGACCCAAGAGAGAACCTTGAGGAGCACACATCTTTGAGTAGTTTGAGGAGGAAACTGAAAAGGAGACTGAGGAAAGAAAAAGAAATCCAGAGAGGTAGGCAAAACTAGGAGTGTAGAGTCCCAAAAAATAAAGGCAGGGTACTTTTCACAAAAGCTGCAGTCAAGGGTCTCACCTACTGCTGTAATATCAGTGAAGAAGGGGCTGAAAAATTATCTACTGAAATTAGACACAAGTAGAGTGGTGTTGAGTCTGGAAACAATGATTTTAGTTGATAGAAAACAAGAAACATACTGAATTTGGATTAATCATGAAAGTACATAAGGAAAAGAAAAAATTGGATGTAGAGAATAGTTAACTCAAATTACCAAGGAGTAGATAGATATGGAATAGAGGGAATAAGATTTAACAAAAATCAGTATTTCAGTATTTTAAATAATGTTGCTAATAATATCCTTCAAGTGATATATTTGCTGAAACGTATATAATGTATATAATTACTCATGACAAAAAAATGGAGAAAATTTTATTAATAATATTAAGCAGCCAATAAAGATAAACTTTTGAAAATGTAGATGAGAGTAGTAGTCTAGAATTTAAGGGAGGGCAAGGGTGAGATGGCTGCAGCACAGGAAGGTGCTGCATCAGTCTAGGCATCTTGCATAAGCAACACTTTAGCATTTTTTACTGAAACAGAAAAAATATTGCATGTAAGGGGCGCTAATTGTGACTTTCATTTTGGAAACACTGCATTCAAGGTGCTGGTGAGACTTCCAGATAAAGAAAAGTGAGAGCATTTAAGTCCAGAACTCAAAATGAGAAAGCACATTAGGACGTTTTTCAGAACGTTGAGAGGAATTAAACCATGGATTGGATGAAGTTGCCTAACGTCAAAGATACACAGAAGAACAAATTGGTTCGGAACTGTCCAAAACATTTTTATTTAATTCAATTTTGAAAAAATGTGCTGGAACACAGAGATATTAAGTTTAAGAGCTGTGCTGGGCATCACTGGGTTCTAATGGACGTGGGCAGAGAGGGTGCAGGTCAAGGTGGGGAGTTAGAATAAGACCAGCCCCTCAGTGAGGACTTCCACTACAATAGGACCCCCGTCTCCCATGATTTACACCTATCACTCATTTAATCTCCATAGCAATCCACTGAAACAGACACAACTCTGACCACAATTTCATGTGTTAGAAAATGGAGTCACAGAAAATTGTTCAATGTCACATGACTAAGTGTGCGGCAAAGGCAGGATTCAAACCCAGGCAGCCTGACATGGCAGCCTAGATTCTGAAGCCCTTTGTGATATGGGGAAGGAGAGAGAAAAATAATGGTGGGTTCACCAGGAACCCAGTTTGACCAGTGTGATGCCAACATGAACAATTTATGAATCACCATGACACCCCACACTTGTTGTGTTTTAAGACTTGCTACAATTATCAAAAACATCTTTTACAATGCTGACATTCCTACAAACAGATAAATCTGGGTTTCATTTTAGAGAGAGAGGCTGGCTTTGAGTCCCACTGCTTGACAAGCCAAGATTCCTTATCTCGTTGTACAGAACATCAGGGAACACAATAGAAAAAACTGTCACTGACGACAAAGAACAGAGCCTCATCATATTTAATCTTGTTTTCCATTTTTCTATTCAGTCAGTAAATGAATTCATTGTTTAGCCTCCCAGCTTATAAACATTCTATTTCTTTCCACTTTCTTACATATGTAGAATATGATTTATAACCCAGTATTACATAATATTTGAGAACTGCAGTGGTTTTACGCCATGTCAATTTAACCAGGCTGGAACTACATTTCCCAGGGACTCCCTTCCCTGTATGGTGCAGTTAGGGTTTGGCCATAACAGAAATGAGTAGGAGGTTTGAAAAGCAGAAGGAAAGGCACAGCCATTTCTCTTATGCTCTGAAAATCGACTTAGATGCAGCCTCCACTGTGGCTCAGGGCAGTCCCCTGATCTCCTGCCCCTGCCCTGGGTTTCCTGTTTCAGCTTTCCTGAGACCCAGGAGAGGCATTCTTTCTGCAACTCCTGCAAGCCACGCATGTAATTGAGACTGGAAACGATAAGAGGCAGACGAGGATCTGGTTTATCCTCACAGATTCCAGGTTGTGCTCACTGTCCCCTCCTTCATGCTTGGACTTTCTTCCTGACTGCTGGCCCAAGAGTCATAGAGTGACCTCAGGCCATAAAACAGTGCAGAGACAACAGTTTTCCACAGACTTCTTCATCTGCTCCCACCATTGTATAATGGCTAAACATTCTGCTAACCCTTTCACTCCATACCACGTGGAGTGGTTCAGCCTCCCTTATCGTACCCTAAATGCTGTAAGGGCCAACTGATTCAGTTCATACTTTTCCTTTCACTAAACACTCTTAACTTTTCTTAAAGGATATTTATATATTTATTTAAAGCTTCCTCTTCTCAAAAAGAGGATGTATAATAGTCTGTTTCTTCAGTGGGAAGAAAATGTGTTCAAGAAAGGGTTGAGTTCCACAGACCATCAACATTTAAGGACCAGGTAAAGGAGGGAACACAGGCAGGGAAACTAAAGAGCAGGAATGAATTTGAAAGAAAAATCAGGAGACAATACATCAAGGAAGACAAGAAAACACAGGCATTTTGAATCAGAAGAACTTATAAATGCATCTCTTCAAATATAGTGTACATGATGCTTTTCATTCTGCTTTTACAGTTAAAGCTCTGTAGCATAACACTTCTTTATAACACAAAATAATTTCCTTAAACATAATTTTAAATTGAATTAATCACATTATATCAGCCTTCTTAAAACTCGTTGCCTATTCTTTATAGATTATTTCTGATGCTTTAAAGCAGAGAATTCAGTAAATATTATTCATCTTGCATTTTTGCAGGCTGATATATTTTTCTTAAGATAGTTTCAGAAGTAGAGTTTTTGTAAAAACGTAGATTATCAAAGATATTGACAGGTTCATGCCATAAAAGTATAGAGAGCCCTCCAAAGTTGCCAGCAATAATGCTAGAAGAGATTTCTGGAAAGTGGACACCTGCTACCGGGTTTAGACAAAGCGGCCCAGGGAAGACACATTAGCTCCATGTGCCTTCCTTGTGCACCTTCGTCTAAACCAGGTGCCCACAATTCCAGGTGTTGGGAGGGAGCTTGGGTGAGACTGAGTCCCTGGTTCTGTTGACATTCCTGTGGGTATAATTGGGGATCTGCTTCTGCTAGGGTGCCCTGTGGGCAATCCACAGAATATGATCTGAACACAGAAGTGGAGGGCCTGGGCCTGCTCCCAGATACATATTCTCAGTAATGGTGATCTGTGAACCTGAGCCAAGGCCAAAGTCAGTGTTACTTGAGTTGGCCCATTCTCCTCTTAAGCTGGAGGTGAACTCATAGGCTAAGCTTTCCCTACCTTTTATGCTGGGCGAGTACAGGTCTATGACGTATAGACCTGTGATTTTTATCTTTCACACTTTATGGCATTCATGCCATTAAGAATACTACAGCTAGGCCACACGCAGTGGCTCACGCCTGTAATCCCAGCACTTTGGGAGGCCAAGGTGGGTGGACCACAAGGTCAGAAGTTTGAGACCAGGCTGGCCAATATGGTGAAACTCCATCTCTACTAAAAATACAAAAATATTAGCTGGGCATGGTGGCGCATGCCTGTAATCCCAGCTACTCAGGAGGCTCAGGCAGGAGAAGTGCTTGAACCCAGGAGGCGGAGGTTACAATGAGCCGAGATCGCGCCACTGCACTCCAGCCTGGGCGACAGAAAAAGAATACTACAACTACTCAGTTGTAAACTCAGGGAAACCAAATAATCATGATGATAATAACAATCATGATAAGAGATTATTTGAGGCTCTTCAGAAGCCAGGAAGAAGAGAATTAGTTGCAACAATCAGAACACAGATGCAGCTTGTCCCCTGCTAAAGGACACTTGGGAGCACCTGAATTAACCATAATGATGGCCTGATTCCGTGACACATGCCCGTAATCCCAGAACTTTGGGAGGCCGAGGTGGGCAGATCTCGAGCCCAGGAATTCGAGACCAACCTGGGCAACATGATGAAACCTTTTCTCTACAAAAAAATACAAAAATTAGCCAGGCATGGTGACATGCGCCTGTAGTCCCAGCTACTCGGGAGGCTGAGGAGGAAGGCTAGCTTGAGCTGGAGAGGCAAAGGTCACTGCATCACTGCACTGCAGCCTAGGTGAGACCCTGTCTCAAAAACAAAAACAATAACAATAATGATGATGATGATGACAGCAACAAAATAGATTCCAATGTCACATGCAAAAAAAAAAGAGTTTCTGAAGCTTAATTAGGATTTTCAAACTAAAAATAAAAAGCAAACAAAAAGAAACTCAAAACTTTATGGATACATTTTTAAAAAAAGGACACTGATTTAAGCACCAAGCATATATATATCAATCAAACAAGCTTTCCAAAAATACATATAATAATATATAATAATATATATTTATATATAATATATATTTATTTTTTACATATAATACATGTTTTACATATAATAGAATTTTATGTGTAATAATATATATAATAAATAAATATATATTTTTTCGAAAGCTTGTTGTTTGATTACATTTTCTGCCTCCTTTGCAGCTAGCATGCAGACGTGGCCTGCACTGCCCCAATCTGTTACATCCAGGAACCATTTTTTCATTTTTTTTTTTCGACTTTTTGAGATGGAGTTTCGCTATTGTTGCCCAGTCTGAAGTGCAATGGCGCAATCTTGGCTCACTGCAACCTCCGCCACCCAAGTTCAAGCAATTTTCCTGCCTCAGCCTCCCAAGTAGCTGGGATTACAGGCGTGCACCCCTACACCCGGCTAATTTTTTTTTTTTTTTTTTTTTTTTGAGACAGAATCTCACCCTGTCACCCAGGCTGGAGTGTAGTGGGGCAATCTCGGCTCACTGCAACCTATGCCTCCCAGGTTCAAGCGATTCTCCTGCCTCAGCCTCCCAAGTAGCTGGGACTACTGGCACCCACCACCATGCCCAGCTAATTTTTTTGTATTTTTAGTGGAGACAGGGTTTCACTATGTTGGCTAGGCTTGTCTCAAACTCCTGACCCCAAGTGACACGCCCGTCTCGGCCTCCCAAAGTGCTGGGATTACAGGCATGAGCCACCATGCCTGGCCAATGTTTTGTATTTTTAGTAGAGACCGGGTTTCACCATGTTGCCCAGGCTGGTCTCAAACTCCTCACCTCAGGTGATCCACCCGCCTCGGCCTCCCAGAGTGCTGGGGTTAAAGGCTTGAGACACCACACCCAGCCCTCAGGAACCGTTTTGATTGGAATGTGAGTAACATGAAGAAGAAGGTTCTGTATGTAACTGGCTTTTTGGTGGGTGGAGTTCTTACTCTGGGGTTAGTTCCAAGGTCAGCCTGCCACTGGAGAACTCTTACATCTGGTTTGAGAGCAATTGCAAAAGAGGTGATTTGCTGGCATTTTGTGTCTAGCCACAGCAGATAGTGATGCCTTCAGCATACCCCTCTGCAGCTGGGCCAGTGAGTCTAAAAGCTTAAACTCAAGCCTTTTAATTCACTTTTTCTGTATTCTATAGAAATTCTATTATAGAATTAATCCACCTAATATCCACTACTAAACCCCATGTCTGCTTACATTAACCTAAATAGATTCTATTAGTAGTAACTAAAGACTGTTATAAATGAGAATAAATCAATACTTAGTGGCATGTTACAAAAGAGTGTCTGAGATGACAGAAAATGGAAAGCTCTAAAGACTTTGGGATAATAATAAGATCACACAAAAATGGCCGACATATTTCAATGACACAAACATTCATATAAAATATTTACATATTTATTTCAAAAAGCATGGTAAACTCAAAAACTATGTAAACATATATGTAAACCTAACGTACAATATAATGATGTAACAATTAAAATTTGAAGATATTTTATTCTTATTTTCATTTTTTTCAAGTCATATCTATTTCCATCCATTTCAATCCTAATATTTTATCGTATGCATAGAATAACTACATGTTTTCAATTGAGTCTTGATTAACACAAAATGACAACACACACAAAAAAGAAAAAATGGCCAGGTGCCGTGACTCACCCCTGTAATCCCAGCACTTTCGGAGGCCTTGGCGGGTGGATCACCTGAGGTCCTGAGTTCAAGACCAGCATGACAAACATGAAGAAGCCCCATCTCTACTAAAAATACAAAATTAGCCGGGTGTGGTGACACATGCCTGTAATCCCAGCTACTTGGGAGGCTGAGGCAGCAGAATCGCTTGAACCCAGGAGGTGGAGGTTGCAGTGAGCTGAGATCGTGCCATTGCACTCCAGCCTGAGTAACAAGAGCAAAACTCCCTATCAAAAAAAAAAAAAAAAGAAAAAGAAAATAAAAGAAAAAAGTCGCACTCAGAAGACTAAAATTAATTTTTTCAGAATATAATATATTGTCAATTGGCAAAAGTCAATATGTACAGAGTGAAAATTCACCTTTCAAGTCTGTTGGATAAGCCATAAACTTCCTTCCTCAGAGGCAACCAGTGATTCTTGTTCCTTGTGTATCCTTCTAGAGATATTCCAGGAAGACATGAGAAAAGGCACATATAGATGTAAATATACATTCGAGGGTTTTTTCCATTTTTAAAACAAATAAATACAAATAAAATTTAAAATGATACAGTGATATAGACTAAATAGTTCCTTTTGCTATACATTGTTCATCATTCCAACTCCATCCATAAGGGATTTTTATTTATTTCATTGTGTGCCAATGTATACACACGTCACATATTTCATCAGCCCCTATGTGGTAACCATTTAGGAGAGAAAATGTCTCTGGCCAATTCAGGCACTACTATCCAGCTCCTTGGATGACACCCAAAGGAGAAGACATGCATTTAAATGTGTTAAGACAGTGGATCTTAAGTATTCTCGCCACACACATAAAACACCAAAACACAAAAATAAAAAAACAAAGGGCACAAAAAATCTTTGAGAGGTGATGGATTTGTCTCTTACCTTGAATTATACTGATGGTTTCATGGGTGCTTGCACATGTCCAAACTTGTTAAATTTTTAACATTATATATGTGCAGCTTTTGTGTATCAGTTACACTTCAATAAGGCTATTCTTTTTTTTAAAAAAGGAGAATGATGTGGTTGATATTTTAGAGAAAGCCCATGTGTATGAGGCTGGCTGCTGCCCCTCTCCTGCTCAGGAGACTACATTCTCTGAGCACCTGGGAAGGTTGTGGGTCACTCAAAAGAGTTCATAGCTCTTATCCATTCTACTGTCATGTGCTCTCAGATGGATCTAGCCAAGGTTGTTGATAAGTCAACAGCCTGGTGAAACGGTGTCCTTCCTTAGTAACTAGTTTATCCACAACCTTACATTTGGCAAAAGGTACTGACAGTTGGCAAACAGAAAATATAAAAGCAAAAGTGTCCTATGGCCAACATGGGTATCCACACAGGGCCTGGTCTTTGTTTTAAATAAACACTCCTAGGTTCAAGAGCTTCTGATTCGTTTATTCATTGACAAGTATTTATCTTTCACACTTTCGTCTCAAGTAACAGGTAATGAGAGTCGAAGAAAGAATACGTCATTGTCTCTTGTCTAAGATACTTAAAATTTAATGAGAAACATGCAATGGTTTAAAAACATGAAAAGGCGTAACATCAAAGTGATGACACTCAAATATCCTAATGTATGAATATTACTTTACAAGACTGGGTCTAAGAAAGGTCACATTTGTTTCTTTTTCTAAATCAAATTATGTCTCTCTGGTAAACACTTGGCAAGACAGTGTAAGAAACTTCACCCTTGTGATGCGCATCAGCTACTAGAAAATGGGAAGCTCAGGCAATTCTCAGCCACATTCAGATATGGGCGACTTGGATGTGTCTGAGAGACTTTCCTCTTAAGTGAGTACAGTGACCATTTCCCCTTTGAGTCCTGTCTCCTCCTTTGGGTGTCATCCAAGGAGCTGGATAGTAGAGCCTGGACTGGCCAGAGACCTACATTTTCTCTCCCAAATGGTTACCATTAAGGACGGCAGCCCCTTCCCTTTATCCTTACTTGGCCCTGGTAACCACCATTCTATTCTGTTTCTAAGAGTTTGGCTATTTTAGGTACCTCATATAAGTGGAATCATGTAGTATTTGTGTTTTTGTGACAGGCTTATTTAACTTAGCATAATGTCCTCCAGGTTCATCCTTGTGGTTACAAATGTCAGGATTTCCTTCTTTTTAAGGCCGAATATTTCTTGTAAGTATATGCCATGTTTCCTTTTTCCATTCATCTGTGAGTGGACATTTGGGTTGTTTCCATTGCTTGCCTACTGTGAATAATATTTCAATGAACATGGGAGTGAAGAAATCTCCTTGAAATCCTGACTTCAATTATGTTGAATATATAATCAGAAGTGGAATTGCTGCATAGCATAGTAGTTCCATTTTTAGTTTCTTGAGGAAACTCCATACTATATTCCATAGTAACCACCATTTTGCATTTCCACCAATAGTGTAGAATGTTTCTAATTTCTCTACATCCTTGTCAGCAGTAGTTATCTTTTGTTTTTGGATACTTCATTGTGGTTTTGATTTGCATTTCACCAATGATTAAAAATGTTGACTTTGGGAGGCCAAGGCGGGTGGATCACGAGGTCAGGAGATGGAGACCATCCTGGTTAACACGGTGAAACCCCGTCTCTACTAAAAATACAAAAAAATTAGCCGGCTGGGGTGGCAGGCACCTGTAGACCCAGCTGCTCGGGAGGCTGTGGCAGGAGAATGGCGTGAACCAGGGAGGCAGAGCTTTCAGTGAGCCGTGATCACACCGCTGCACTCCAGCCTGGGCGACAGAGTGAGACTCCGTCTCAAAAAAAAAAAAAAAATTGTTGAGCATATTTTACCAGTTGACCATTTATGTGTCTTATTTAGAGAAATGTCAATCCAAATTCTTTGCCTTTTTTTTTTTTGAGATGGGGTCTTCCTCTGTAGCCCAGGCTGGAGTGCAGTGACACGATCTGGGCTCACTGCAACCTCAGCCTCCTGGGTTCAAGCAATTCTTCTGCCTCAGCCTCCTGAGTAGCTGGGACTACATGCGCATGCCACCACACCTGGCTAATTTTTGTATTTTTAGTAGAGACAGAGTTTCACCATATAGGCCAGGCTGGCTCGAGCTCCTGACTTTGTGATCTGCCTGCCTCAGCCTCCCAAAGTGCTGGGATTACAGGTGTGAGCCACCATACCAGGACTCTTTGCCCATGTTTAAATCAGGTCATTTCTTCTTTTGCTATTGAGTTGTAAAAATTCCTTATATATTTTAGATATTAACCTCTTAGCAGACACATGTTTTGTGAATTTTTTATCCTATGTGGGAGGTTGCCTTTTTACTCTGTTGATTGTTTCATTTGCTGTGCAGAAGCTTTTTATTTTATTTTATTTTATTTATTCATTCTTTTTAAGACAGAATCTTGCTCTGACGCCCAGGCTGGAGTGCAGTGGCATGATCTTGGCTCACTGCAACTTGTCTCCCAGGTTCAAGTGATTCTCCTGCCTCAGCCCCCTGAGTAGCTGAGATTACAGACGTGAAGCACAATGCCCAGCTAATTTTTGTCTTTTTAGTAGAGACTGGTTTCACCACATTGACCAGGCTGGTTTCAAACTCCTAGCTTCATGTGATCTGCCTGCCTTGGCTTCCCAAAGTGCTAGGATTACAGGCATGAGCCATTGCGCCCAGCCCAGAAACTTTTCAGATTGACATAGTCCAACTTCTTTATTTTTGCTTCTATTGCCCATACTTTGGGGGACTTATTCAAGACACTATTGTCTGCCCTAATGTCAAGAAGATTTTTTCTATGTTTTCTCGTAGAAGTTATACAGTTTCAGGTCTTACCTTTAAGTCTTTAATTAATTTTGAGTTTATAGGTCTTTAATTAATTTTGAGTTTTGTTTGTGTGTGCTGTAAAATAGGAATCTCTACATTCTTTTGCATGTGGATGTTCGGTTTTCTCAACAACATTTGTTGAAGTGACTATCTTTTCCCTATTGTGTATTCTTAGCACCCTTGTCCAAGCTCAGTTGACCTAATATACGTAGGTTTGCATTTTATCACAATACTTGAAATAGCTCTAAGCTGATCAAAATAAAATGTTTCAGTCATTTGAAGAGCAGTATTTTATAACAGATCACTTGAAGTTTCCTTTGGTTCAACTAGCCTCACTTGAAATCCTCTTTGATGCTTGAAGCCTTAGTGACTTCCTGACTGGCAATGAATGCAACTGAACCCCTTCTGTTGCCAGGACTCCTAAAGGCACACATGTCTATGCTAGTCTGTCAGGGCCTGCATTCTGATTAGAGTATTCATTAACTTGTTTCTCTCCTTGCACAGCTTTGACTAGCCAGTCATTTTTATGTGACATGAAGACTATTTTCCTTGCAAGACCTACATGTTGAAAATAATCATGAATATATAAAAAAGGCTCTTATGAAAAATACGGACAATACCAATATTGGTGAGGATGAGAACTCAGTGAGATTCTCAAACATTGTTGATGGGAATGTAAAATGAAATAGCCAGAGTGAAAAGTTTTGGCAATATCTTCTAACACTGAATATACACATATTGTATGACCCAACAAAATGTGTCTTAAAAACAGATTTTTTTAAAAAAAAGACAGCTACAGAAATCACCATACGTAGGCATTTATAATAACTCCACATTTGAAAGTATGCAATGTATGTCAATATAAAAAATGAATAAATTGCAATATTTTGAATAACAGAATAATATTATTCTAAAGCACTGAGACTCTAGAAACCAAAATTTCTCAATGCTCAACAGTATGTATAAATCTCACAAACATGAACTTGAGAAAAAGAAGCCAGACGGAAAAAAGTACATACTGAATTATTTCATGTGCACACTCCTCTATATGTAATATATCATTAATACTATGCTTATATATATTGAAATGAGACATAGCTTCACAATTTTTAAATAGGATTGATTTAGCACTCAACTTAAAAGAGATAGAACTAAACTATTTGTCATGAAGCTACAATTTTAAAGCAATTTACATAAACTTGAAAAACTCAGTTTTCATTTTAAAGACTGAGTGTGGTGAAGACCATAGAGAGGAGCGGTGGAAACCTATCAGGAATTGAAGCTCGGCCCCACGACCTTTTGGCTTCACAGACTACGGGTGCTATGATAAGCCCAGAAGTACCTGAAGCTGTGATTGCAGGTCAGGAGAAAGATAACCAGCAAGTCCTTGTTTTGTGTTTTATAAAAGACTGTGCCCTTGAAATTTTCTGTACAAAGTTTGATGACTTTTTAATTCAGAAATGTATATATGTTTTTTTGTGGGGGCTGAAGTAGGCTTTTTGGACCAGTCTAAAACTTTAATGTGCCCTACCCAAAATTTCACTATTAATAGAGAGGCGTTAAAATACTGATGATATAATCATGATAATAAAATCAAATAGCAAATGGAAAGTGCCAAGTGCAGTACCTGGTTGTTGTCAAGGCTAAATCAATGTCAGATCCCTTCTCAAATTATTTGTTTGAATAGAAACAAAGCCTTCATTTTCTGTACATTTTTCTCCTCGAGAGCTTGGTGTGCCCTCTAGGTCTAGATATTATCTAGATGCTAAGGTCTAGATAATGAGATGTAGATGGGAATGTTGGGGACAGCTTCCTCAAGACCACTTTACCAGACAGCAGGCTCACATCTCAGGCCCCATCTCTCCTAGCCACTTCCTTCACCAGGTGCCAGGAATGTGGGATTGATGGTTCCAGCTCTACTCGCTAACACTGACAAAGAGAACAAGGGGAGGTCACTGGGATAACAGGGCAGAAAGCAGGAGGGAGCCTGCGTACTTACAGCAATGCGACTTCACACCTCCAGGCTCAGGGGAACTTTCTTGATTTCATTTTCTCAACCCTTATTTCACCCTTGCCTTCTGTTTGAAAGAGTTTGAAAAACTCAACACTGCACCTTTGCAGAATCCCTTTTAGACAAGGTCTAAATGTGAATTTAGTTCTGATAATTAAAAGCACTGGGATGCTATCTGAAAGGGAGGCACAGGCCTTACTGTGGCTCCTGACTACCATAACTGGCTAACAGGGCTTTGCATTCTGAAGCACTTTCTTGTGTTCATTCCCAGCTTCCAGAGGGTCAAGAAGCTGTTGTGAGCATGGCCAGTTTCTTGCTCAGCCATCCTCACCCCTGGATCACCGCTTTGGAAGGGAAGTCCCCAGCTCCGGTGTGTTCTGAGGCTGCTGGGGGCCAGTGCAGCTCTGCGGTGGCATCAGAGGCAGGAGCTCTCCCAGCCCTTGCAGTGACCTGGTGGGAACCGAAACCGCTGAATAAAACCTTTCCTGCTTTAGAATGGGTGTTCTTTTCTGCACTGAACCGTGGCTAAGAGAGAATTTGTTTGATGTGGGTGATAAATAAACTTCCATTTTATTTGGGCCACTGTTATTTTCAGCTTTCTGTCACTTGAAGCCAAATATAATTCTAATTCATAAGTCAACAGATCTCTAACCTGGAAAATGATTTTGCAAATCTAGAAGATGAATTTTGCAAAGGAGACCTTTAATTTTCTTTACATGGGCTCTCTTTTTTTAATCCAAGTATATAGGTGGAAGTTCAATTCAATGGCTTCAGTAGAATATTTGTGACTTGCTAATAATTTAACTTTGCATAACTTCACAGGCAACCTTGAAAATGGCCCATACAAAAACTCTCATTTTTTCTTAATTTAGATTTATCCAACACAATTTTTGATTATGTTTCTATAATCCCTAATATGCTTAACTCAGAATTAACCAAAGTTTTTCAAACTGTATTGACTCTAAAAACTATTCTGGAATAGAATTTTTAAAAGCATTTTCCATTTGAGTCTATGCCAGGGTTATTGTAATTTTCATCTAAATATCTCAACATTCTGTCCTCTATATGATTTTTCAAACAAATTTACATAGCTGCTTGAATCAGATAACTAAGAGAATTATGAGCATGTGGGTAATTGAACATTTTGAGCTTTGACCTGCTAGTTTGCTTTTTTGCTTGCTATAGACTGAACTTCCAAATTCTGGCTAAACATCGTATTATTGTGTGATGTAAGTCAAAAGGCAAATCCAGGCAAAATCCGGAATAAGCAAATAGGTCTCATCTGCTGGAAGGCCACAGGGCGTGGGCTCTTCTCACAGTGGAAGAATGGAGAAGCTCATTTGGATGAACAATATACAAACTATTATATGCCTAGAATTTAAGTGCTTGACCACTCAGGGCAGGGATATCATTGGGAGACTGTGCTTGCTTAAAGGACCTTTTAATTTTTTTTCTGTATGTATAAATCTACTAAACTTAATATTCTGTCTAATCTTAATATTCATTTCAGAAACTTGAGGAGAAATGGAATTCTTTTTTGTTGTTGTTGTTTTTATTCCAATTTCTTTCAATATTCTGTAATTTAGAACTGGGTTGGTCATGAGGAAACTCCAGATGGGTGAATACTGAAATAACATTAAACCTGTTGGATATTTGTCATTTACTCATTAAAGTTAGAATTCGCAGAGGAGAAAATTGTGTGCCAGTTGGGGAATAGTTCCATAAAAATAAATCATTAAATAAAATATGACAGTAACTTTGCATACATAATTTGGTGATATAGTGTTTAACCTGCAAAACAGACTGCATGTTAGTCTCTTCAAAGGAGAATAAGTTTAAATACCGCATTATACAACACAAAAAAATCTTTAAATATTTGTTCAACTGAATTTCTCTATGCTACCAACTCAAGGAAACTCACGTGATGAATGTGTGGTTATTACTCTCAAACGAATATTTAAATTGAAAGTAAAGACTGCGGGTTCTCTTCTCTCTTCTCAGGTCTTATCCTAAGTCCATAACAAAATGAGAAATAAGCACATACTCTGATTTTTCTGTCCTGCATATTTTCCCAATAGGGCACTAAGGCAAAAACAGAACTTTAAGGTCATATAATTAACGTTTTCTTCTAGTATTTCAATTTTACAAATTGGGTTTCTAGTACCTTGTTGAATATATTGCAACATGTGGAATATACTAATTTTCATAGTAGACTATTCTATTTGTTGTAATAGTCCCTAGAAATTGGTTACCTTTTAAATTTTATAAGTTCTTTAATTTTTTTCAGATAATAAAATTAATATTAACATATGCAATTTGAGATGAAGTGGTTTGATATCACTAGTTGGCTTTATCACAGTGGTAGCTCTAGTTGTAGGTATCATGTTAGAGGACACACAAGATGCCATTGGCTCATAAGCATTTTATCATTTACCCCACTACTACTCTGTGATACAATGTCAGTTTACCCAGAGTTATTCAACTATTAAAGAACAGAAATAGGATTTGAACCCAATTTTAACTGGTACTCTTATTTATGTTTTTATCACAATGAACAGTATGGTTCCTTCAATTAATAATATTTCTCACATAAACACATGAATGGTGATATAATAATATATCAAAGTTACCTTATAGAATTAAATGAATAAAATGTCTTTAAGAAAAATAAAACACAAAACTAAATAAAAACTAAAACTTTATAAAATAGGAATATTAAATTACATACAATTTTACATAAATATAAAATAGTTATAAAATAAATATTTATAATATTAAATATATATTTTGCACAAATATTCATAAAAAAGATTGCTAAACATATTCATAAAAGAGACTGCTTAGTAGGTTTTTTGTAATATACCTGAGCTTAGTATCAAGTTTATGGCAGCATAGACCTATTTTGTAAGCTCCCTTTTTCTACATTCTGAAACAAAATTTAAGAATTAGAATGACCTGTTCTTTCACACTCCTGATAAATTACAAATATTTTATGTATTCTGTGACAATTGGATTGTTTAGATTTTCAGCCTCTGTAAGGTAAGACTTGATAATTTATAATCTAGAAAATCACTCATCTTATCAATTTCAAATATATTAGTCTAGAATTGAGCAAACAATTCTGTAATACTCCTGCTAATTCTCCTAGTACATTTGGTTATTTTCACATACAATTTTCTTATTTTGTATATTTAATATTCTTTGCTTCCTCTTTCTTGATTAGGTTAGCTGACAGAACAGCTATTTATTTTCCTCAAAGAAACAGTTCTTAATTTATTAGTTATACTTTTTTCTGTTTTCTTACATATTTATTTTTGTTTCCTTATTGCTTACTGTTGCTTCTTTTGCACATATTATGTTGTTCTATCTATTTGAATTGGACTATTCAATTGATATCTTTTTACTCTTTCTTGTTATTGATGTATGCCTTTTATTTAAGAACTGAGAACTGAATACCTGGGTACTATTACAACGTGATATGTTATGTAGTGTCCCCAGATACGAGGAAGTGATTTATGATAGTCAATATGCTCAGCAAATTAGATATGTGTGATTCCCTTTATTCAAAGATTGCTTAATTTCAGAAAAAAAATTTCAGATGTTAAGATGATCACCCTAGACTGTTTTCATATCCAGTTTCATTGCAATGTGCCGAGTAGTAACTTCTGTTCCAGAATGTATTGATATATCTTTGGTCTAGTCTTTCAATATGCCATGAACACATGGACTCAGTATGAGCCTCTAACATCCTTTGGAATCAGATCAACTTGGTAAATATAAAATTTCCACAGGAACTTTTTTTCCTTTGGAAAATGTATTTTGTTTTTGTTTGTTTGTTTTCGAGACAGTGTCTCACTCTATCACTCAGGCTGAAGTGCAGTGCTGCGATCTCAGCTCACTGCAACCTCTGCCTCCCAGGTTCAAGCAATCTTCCCACCTCAGTCTCCTGAGTAGCTGAAATTACAGGCCCACACCACCACACCTGGCTAATTTTTGTATTTTTAGTAGAGACGGGGTTTCAGCATTTTGGCTAGGCTGGTCTTGAACTCCTAAACTCCTGAACTCCTGACCTCAAGTGATCCACCCACCTTGTCCTCCCAAAGTGCTGGGATTACAGGCATGAGCCACCACCAAATGTATTTTGACTTTATTGTTTGTAAACACTTGTTTTCATTTTTCTCCTTTGAAGGAAAAGAGTATCATTCCGGATAAAATAAACTTCGAAAGCACATTGACTTTTATAGAAATTTATAAGACAGAGTAGTCAGGGAAAAGAAGTAGAGCAAGAAAAGGTAAAAGGGGAACAGAGGGAGGAGAAAAGGAGAAAAGGAAAGGACAGGTGACCACCCTGGAAGGTGGTCCAGGGAGGGATGGGAGCTGGAAAGGGGATGTGTTCAGCATGCATTCAAACAAAAGTACACTGCTGTGAATTGTAAAGGTGTTCTAAATTTTTAAGTTCAGTTTACCAAACAAGGTTATCTGTAATTGGCACAAAGTAACAACGCAGAAACCTATATGCTCCCTGAGAGGATGTTAGGCATGAAGCTGGCCAGGTAATTTCCTAGTAATTCCATGTGACAGATAATATATGTTAAGAGAAAGTTAAAGAAATATTGAATTGAAAAGTCATGTGAGTTAGCCACTTTGATGGCTTCTAGCCTGATTCCATAAAATGATTAAAAAGTGAAGAGATTGACAGTATCATTTCAGTCTTGAGAAGTGTGTATGGCTTGGAAAATCTCCTGCAGAAGGGAGCAATTTGCATATATACAGTATTTATTGATGTGAGTTGTATTAACTTGCATTTGCAAAAGTAAAATATGTTTTTCATCAACAACGTAGCCACTAGGTCAGAAAGCTACAAATGGTGCCAGATAATACGTGGAGGATTTCAGCTTACCAGTTGCAACACTTTAATTTCACAAAGAATAAAAATATTATGCAGAGTTATTAGAAATATGTAAAGTCAGTGAGATGTCACATTGACATACAATAAACAATTCAGGTATACCTGCTTAGGTGGAAACACTCAATGTGCCTTCTTAATTCTCTTGCTGCTGCCCACCTCAAATCCAGCCACTTGCTGCTCAGTCACTGACTCTGCTGGCATCATAGGGTTCTGATCAGCCCCTAACCTGAGAGAGTCCTCCCCTGGGCCACTGCTGTGCATCACTGTGGAGGTGGGGACCAGCTGCACCTGCTCAGTGTCTGGCAGTTCCCACCAATTCCAAATCAGATGATGCACCGCCTCACAGGTAGGGATGCAGGAGAGACTGGCTTGCTGAGAAACTGTCAAGCTGGTCAAATGTCACAGTCTGGAAAAGCAGAAAATTCACTCCAATTGGACAAAGATGGGCCAGTGTAAGACCAGATGGGGGAGGAAGGATGTCAGGCAGATTCATCCCCTGGACTTCCCCCAGATATGGTTTCTCTGTATGGTCCTTTTAGAGATGATGTCCTGCAGGATTGAGAGGCCACACTAGTGACCAGCGGGCTCTGTGTCTCAACAGAAGCTATGGTCAACCTGGTCATAGAACACGTTTTATTGCTTTCCACTCTTTTCTTTATTGTTTCCCTTTCTTTCATTCTCAGATCCTAGGACTGTGGCTTTTAATCATTTTTAATCCTTACCTTGGGCTCTGCTTTCTGTGAGACCTAGGCTAGGACAACCACTAATTACATAGAACATAACAATTGCAGGGTGAGTCGTTTACATCCCAATTACTCCAACCTTCTCTAGACAAAGGGAAATGAGGGGGAATGTAAACTGGAGTTAGAATAAAGAAGACTCTTGTGTGTCTTGGATATGGTGATTAGGTTATGATGGTGTATAGGCCAGGCTTGGGAGCATATTTAAAAATAATAAGAGAAGGACTGAGCTTGGAGAGAGCAAAAAAAACTCACCTCAAATTTGAGACTCACAAATAAAAAATAAGGCCTAAATAATATTTTGAACAATGGCCACTTTACAATATTGAATGCCTGGAAAACCATTCATGTAGTATCTAATATGTATTATTCTCCATAAGTCATACTATTTTTTTCATAATTTAAAATCAGGGTCTTTTTTCTCAGAGTTGGGGTTACACGTTGGAACTGCTCCCAGCTCTTCTTTTCAATTTAGCACTGTAATTTTGCATAGTGTTCAAAAGTAGTTTCTACTATAACCTCAGCAATATGCCAGATTTGAATTTACTATATATAGTTTATATAAGAAGATGAGGAAAATGCAATCGTAAAAGGATAGGTGTGCATCTCTTTAGTTAACTCTTCTCCAGCAATCAGCTTATTCCAATGAAATCTGCATTCTTTATACAAGGCATTAAAAAAAACTAAAAGCAAAAATACTAAAAAAATTAATTAAAATCAAAGAATGCTGTAAGAAACAGCACCAAAAACCTAATTCTTGATTCACTCAACTCTGTGTCCAGTGAAACATACTACCAAGATCAAGAATACACTTTAGGGACTAAAGCAGCTCATGGTATAAGTAGTATTAATAGCTAATTATATACAAAGGCTAAACATATGATTGTTTTCTTTTATTTTCTGCAAGAAACTGAGAAATAGGTCTGGGGTTTGAGGTGTGACCTAAACATTGAAATTATGTGATAAAAATATATTTATAGACATTTACAAGTTTTACAATGCAAAGCCAATCAAATCAGTTTTGAAATCTAAAAAACTGTGCCAAAATAAATTATCAAGAAAGGTGTATTTATATATATATACAAACACACACACACATATTTTATATATATTTTATGTATATATATGTTTTTAATCCTTTATTCATACCCGTAGTTTCTAAATCTTATATATCAAATATATTCCACTTGTGTTATGGAGTATTTCAATATCTTTAAGTGTGTCCCACAGGGATACAGCTCTTCCTTTGCTCAACACCAGTTGCAGCATTGAAGTCCTCAGTAACAATCAGATCTGTAATGGAGTATGCATAATAAACTTTAAATGATCATAGAAATGAAGCAATGTATTCAAACTTCCCCACACAAATCAGCAGGGGAATGTAAGTGTGAAGAAAAATCATATGCAGCTTGCCAGGGAACTAGTGTAAAAATTGGCAGAAAAAGAAAAATGCTGTATGAGCCATGCAGTTCTATATAATTTATTTCTCTTATTTCCTCTAACGCTTTTTTCTTCCTTCTGATGGCCATATAGATAACTGGCCTAAAAGCACAAATATGGAGAAAGGGATATAAAAATAGTGATTATGAGAGGAGATAAATGTTCTAAATTCCACGTATCATAAACCTTCACAACCTCCAAGACCTCTAGAAAATCAATACAATAGTGGTCTTATCATTAGGGCTTCACCGTGCTATATCCCTGAAAAGGGCTTTTAGTAATTTTGGAATAAATTCCAGGAAGCCTAGCAAGTAGAAATAATACAAAAATAACTTAAAATAAATCATTGCCTTTAATAAGAGACTTTTTATTCCATAAAACTGCTATTTCTCATGAAGTTTCTTATTTCAAATGCGGCAGCCAAGTTCATTCGAATCAGGGCAGTGACGATCAGTTGCACTTCTGGTGGTTGATTGGACAGCAGTTGTGAAAAGTCAGTGTGGTCTACTTTGGAGTGGGACCTTTGTAAAGCTAGGCAAAGCAATGCACCAAGACTGTTTATCAGAGAGAGCACATAGGGAGCACAGAGATTTTGGGTTTGGAAAAGCGAGGAGATCGGGGAGAAGTAGAAGATTTAACTGGTAAGAGTAACCTTTCTTTGGAAAGGGTTAGGAAAATTAGCTTCCAGTCCCTGCATCTGAGTTTGGGCAGAAGAGGTGGGATTTAGGCAGGTGATGGAAAAGAAAAATATAGTACTTCTTTTCTAAAACACCATGTAGAGTACGAAAGAATACATGAGAGGAGAACCTGATAAAAGTCAGGAGATGTAAAAAAATGCCTAGTCCTTGACATTGATAGGTAACTCTTCAAAGAGTGTGATCCCTCTAGGAGGATGTGCTTTCTTCCTAGGGGGACGGAAAAACGATTTTGAGCAATGTTTAAAACTTTAAAGTATTAATTGATAAAGTATACCATAAATACAAAAAGTACACAAATTACGTGCTCCACTCTATAAAATTTCAAAAGGTGAACAGGAATGGAAATTAGCAACATTTCCAAAAGTCTCCTTGCATCTGCTTCCAATCACTAACTGTCATTCATTTCCCAAGATTTCGTGAATCAGATTTACCTGATTTTTAACTTTATATGAATAGAAGAACATATTGTAGGGTCTCTAGGTGTATGATGGAAATATTTTGCTTAACATGATGTTTATGAGATTTATTCATGTTGTGTTACATAGCAGTAAATTGAATATTCCTTTGATACATAATATTCTACTGTGTGCATGAATATTCTACTCTCTATATATTCCACAGCTTATTTATTCTAGTGTTGTTACACATTCGATTTTTTTCCAGTTTTCAGCAACTATGAATAGAGGTGCTACAAACACTTTTGTACATGAACATTTTTGTAGCAATTCTGTTGGGTGTGTATGTACTACACATATGTTCAGTTTTGGTAGAAACTATCAAATATTTTCCCAAACTGTTTGTGCCAATTTAGACTCCTAGTAGCAGTATAGAAAAGTTCCAGTTGCTTCACTCACCAATTCATGCTACGGCAATGTCACTAATTTAGCCATTCTGCCAGGTGAGTAGGAGTGTCTTGTTGTGGTTTTAATTAGCATGCCCCGATGACTAATGAGCTGAGCACATTTGCAAACATTTTTTATCATTTTTTTACCCTCTTTTGTCAAGGGAGTACTCAAATCGTTTTGCCCTTTTGTATACTCAGTTGTCTGCCACACTGATGCGGGGAAGTTCTTCACATAAACTTGAACACTCTTTTCTTCGATATGTGTTCTTCAATACTTTGCCCAACTCTGTGGCTTGCCTTGATAATAGTGAACAGAAAGCCTTAATTCACGGAGCTCAATTTACCTAATTTTTCCCTTATGTTTAGTATCTCTTGAGTTTTTTTTTTAAGACAAAACATTTCATACCCCAAGAGAAGGAAAATAACCTGCTATGTTTTCCTAGTGGGGGGTGCAGCATAAAAGACGACACATTGGGTGCAGTGTACATTGTTCAGGTGATCATGGGTGCACTAAATCTCAGAAATCACAACTAAAGAAGTTATCCATGTAACGAAACACCACCTGTTTTTCAAAAACTATTAAAAGTATTTAAAAAGTAGGTACAAATCTACAAATCTACCTAAGTATACTACAGTCCAGTTTATTTTTTTTAAAAAAGGTTCATTGATTTACCTTCACATTTTGATCTATAGCCATAGAATTGATGTTTGTGTATGATGTCAGGTTGGAAACATTTATTTTTCCTTGTAAGTCTATCCAGTTGATCCAGAATTATTTAATTGAAGATCATGTTTTTCTTACTGGACTGCAGGGTCATCCAGCATAAACCAGGTGACCATATACTTGTGGGTCTATATCTTAACCCTGTCTCATTGGTCTACTTGTCTATCCATGTTCCAATATAACATGCTTCTAATTAATGTACTTCTATAATTTTATAATATCTTAATATCTAGGAGTACAATATATTAATAATTATTAAATTGGTCAAAAATCATTGGTGGATGCAAATCCATGAGTGAAAATTCAAGGAGAAAGAGGGTATTTATAGACTCAGAGTATCTACCCAAAAGACACTTAGACATTAAAAAAGGAAAAGCAGTGGTAACTTTACAATAGAGATTCCGGGGAGCCGCCACCTTAACCAAGTGATTGCGGTTTACTTCACCAGCAATTAGACAACTCAATGTTACATGCCTCTTGATATGATGCACAGAGGAAAACAATTCTTTCAAAAAATGGATAACCTGGGTTTAATCATAAGAGCATGTCAGACAAGCTCAAATGGAAGAGAGAGTCTACAAAATAACTACCCTGTACTCTCCAAAAATGCCCATGTCAACAAGACTGAAGAACTGTTTAAAGTAAAGCAGACACAATAATGGAAAGCAGCATGAAATCCAGGATTCCTTCTTGCTATAAAGACAACAAATACACAATGGGACAATAGTAGGACAATGGGTGAAATATGAATAAAGACTTCACATTAGAAAAAGTACTGAATAAACAGTAATTCCCTGATTGTGAGAGTTTATCTGTCGTTATTTATGAACATATCCTTGTTATTAGAAAATGCACACTGATTTATTTAACTGTAAAGAGGCATCATATCTGTAAGTTTCTTTCAAATGACTGAAAAACAAAGTATCTGCATGGATATCGATACCAGACTGTATTGTTGGAAAAAAGAATCAAGCAAATAAGGTGCTGACAACTGGGGAATGTGGGTGAAAGGACTTTGAGGATTTTTGTGCTAGCCTTGCAAATGTCCAGTAGGTTTGAAATAATATTAGAATTTTTAAAATTTAAAAATCTGTCTTTTTCATGTTCCTTTTACTGATTGAGGTGCCTAGTGTTCTTACAATCCCCCGTAAGTCAAGATATGATCCATATATAATGCACATAATTAATCTTTGAATCTGTATAATTTTCTATTTCCGAGAAGTAAACCTTTAATTTATTCCACATAAATTGTTAAATTGATATTGTGATGGTATTCAGAGGTTCATATTTTTATTATTTTCTCAACAATAATATAATCAAGATTTAAAGTTAGAAAACAGATCCAGAGGTTGAATTTTGAGACCAGAAAACCAGAGTCAGAGATACAGCCAGTCACAGAGAAAAAAATTCATATTAGCAATATGTGGGAAAATAACTTCAGTATATTTGGGTTTTAGTTACCCTGAGTATGAAACAAAGATACTGTACTCATTGAATTCTAAAGCACCTTCACTTTTTCTAGGACTATTTGCTGGCTGATGAGAAAAATAGAAAAGTCAAAATTGACACGGAGCCTTTGAGTCTGGTTAAATTGTAATTCTTCTCAAATATAAGGAGAAAGGTTTAAGAACAAAAGAACTTAGAAACATCACAGTAAGTTCAATGCATATATATATATATACATGTATACACATACACATAATCCATATATTTATAAAATCCTTGACTTAAAATGGAGTTACATCCTAACAAACTCATCATCAGTTGAAAATATTGTAAGTCAAAAATGCGTTCAAGACGTCTAACTTACCAAACATGATACATGCTCAGAACACTTACATTAGCCTACAGTGGAGCAAACCATCTAACACAAACCCTATTTATAGCAAAATGTTGGATATCTCATAATTTATTGAATACTGCCCTGAAAGTGAAAAACAGAATGGTTGTATGATTACTCAAAGTACAGTGTCTACAGAGTGAGCATTACTGTCACACCATCATAAAGCTGCAAAATCTAAGTCAAGCCGTTGTCAGTTGGGGACCATATCTACACATGTATTTAACCTCTATTTAAATATATATTGAAAGTATGCAAAAATACACCATAAAGGGTATCCTGAGGAGGATGCCTGGGGACTTTTCTTAGTTAAAATATGACAGCTAATGGTATGATGAATTTGCTGCCACTCCTCTCTCTGGAGCTTTCTGCGCTTACTCATTTCTGTTTCAGTTTTGTCATTTCTTTGGAAATCTGTAAAGTGCTGAAATATGGATTCTGCGATTTGTTACAAAAGCCTGAGGGTGTCACTAATCCATTATAGAAATAAGGGTGAAAAACAGGTAATTATTTCAAGGAACATGTTGTTGAAAATAGTTTGTTTAAATTCTAGGGTCCCTAAGCTGATTTTGGGGGGTGAACAGTTGTTCCATTGCATCCAAGCTCGTGCTGCAAAGATGCATTACCCTAACCTCGCTTCCATGCATGGTTTCCTTTGTGGTTTTCCATCATTTCAAACAAAATTGCCCTTTGGTTTCACAGAATGAAAACATTTTCTGTATGATGAAATTTCAATGTTGCTGAGAAAATGGCTTAAAATGAGAACACTGTGTTTTACAAAATTATTCAAATTGAAATGCTTCTAATCTAGTAAAATTTTGATTTGTGATGGAGATTTATATTTTCTTATTTTTAAACTAAATCTCATCCAGAGATAATTGAAATCCAATGGCAAATCCAGATTAGATAAATGTTCTAATGTGAAAAACCAGTCCTATAGGGTATGTCCTGAGGAGCAGGTATTTGTTTTGAGAGCTGTGTGCCAATTTCAAGAAGATTTTTTTAAGATTCATATCCTAGAAAGGAAATGTCTGAGTGTAGATTGCTGCTTAGGTTCCTGTAAAGTAATATCTTTTGATTGCCAAAAAAAAAAATGTGTCAGGAACTGTGAAGGGTCTAAGATTTCACTCAATTTGTAAGCTAAAATATTAGCTTGCCTCAGTTTCACAGACTTTGGCAGAAGAAAAGAAAGTCCTGGATTTTAGACAAAGAACTTAAAGCCATAGAAATAAGAGCAGTCAGAGTGTCAGCATTTTCAAATTTCAGTCCTCTGATCCCCATTTCCCACAGAGTGAACTGAGAAGGAGCAGGCCACTGAAACCCATGACTTCACATTAAAAATGCCTAATACCCAATGAATCTCATACTCTTTTCTGTAATTGAGGATTTAAAAGTTAGTTTTCCAACTTGCCTGATAGCTCCCCAAAATCAGGAGCTGTGTTTTAGATATTTTAACCCTTGTGACCTGGCAGAATATCTAGCACATAGTCTGCACTCGATACCTGTATGTTAAAATCAAAAATGAAGTGGATGGCACATAGAACCAGCCCTGTCCTCAGAGAGCTTACTTTTCCTCATACAATCAATAATATCATCAGAAGTTCTTAGAAATATTGCTGAAATGTCTTTGATGATAGCAGTTTTAGTAACTGCACATTGCCTTCTAAGAATTCCCAAACTGGACCTGTTGCTTGGCAATATTCAAAATTGCCCTGATGTTGAATATTTTTAGAAGCTTTCATCAAATTTTATTATATGCCAATGACTCTGATATAGCTTTAAATGTATAATTGTGTTCAATCATCAAGAAATATTATTAAGTAACTGTTGTAATTAATCTCATTTTTTAAAAGAGAAACATAATAAATCAGTGACAGAGTTAAGACTTGAAATTAGGAAGTGTGAGTAGACCCTTTCATAAATATATTGCACTCGCCTCACCTAGCTGTATCACCTATACAATGGTGAATTCCTCTTTTTATAAACTAATAATGAAAAATTAAACTACTGAACTGCAACAGCAATTCAAACCAATCCTTACAATTTCAACGTGAAATATTTCTCAGACTGTGCATACACTGGGTTACAAAATGATCTTGGAAGAAAGATATACAATATTAGAAGATATTTTATTCCCAGATTTATTAGTAGTACTTAAATGACTTCAGGTATGTATTAACAAATTGATAATTGAAAAATATATTGTGTGATAGGAGTTAGAGTTACATATTAATTTTGATGATGTCTACTCCAAACCATCTGTTATTGCAAAAAAGTCACTACACATATAAGCTATGCAGTTTGTAGAAAGTACACATTGCTAACACAGTATATTTAAATAGCTACAGGTATTCATACGTCAAATAGAAGGCATTATGTGGGTTTTGTGGGGGCTTTGTGTGTTTGTTTGTTTTACTGTTGATTTATTTGTTATAGTAACTAAGGCTGTAGTTACTCAGCAGTAATATGATTCCAGGGATACTTAACATTACCAAGAAATTTTAGCTGAGAATGCCACCCTATATGTATACAATTCAATCATTTTCAGATAACCATATGTTATCATAGAAAAGATCTTACAGTAGCTTTTTGTTTGGCATGAGTGGTAGAGCAAATTGGAATATATATATATTTATTTTTATATTTACAGATACCCACTTTAAAATGTTTTAAGATTGTATTTTCTTATAAAAAGGTAATTTTAGAAAATATAGAAAAATATAAAGAAGAAACCTCACTCATTGATAATCCCAACACTCAAAATTACATTGCAAACATTTTGGTGCATTTCCTTTCTATAGGCATGCCCACACAAAGACACACACTGAACATTAGAGGAGTTTTGCATTCTGTGTTTTTACTTTTCAATTTAAGACCATATTAATTATTTCATTATTAATTATTGTATTACATTATCCACTAACCATTATAAAAAACACGATAATTAAAGTCTACATAATGTTACATCGCATGATTGTACCATCATTAATTTAAATATATTCTTAATATTGGGAATTGTTTGTTTCTTAGATTTTTCTATTAGCAAAATGTTACTTTAAAATATTTCAATTATAATATTTAGATTAGACACTGTATAAAAATCCCATCTCAATCACACAATGACATAACATTTTTATCTTACACAAATATGAGCCATTTCACTCCAAGTGTCTAGAATCTCCTTTACTGGGGAAAAATTACATAATTATTTCATAAGATTGTTGCCTATAATTGTAGTCGTAGTTGGATTCTGACCTATAATTCCAGTCACAATATTGTATAATCCAGAGTCCCAAATGAAGAAAAACTATTCTCTGGCTCTGAAAATAAAATTGCATAAAATTTCCCATTGCATTTATAACCCTTTCTAGGGATTTATTGTATGAATTTAAAGTACTTCGGCTTCTAAAGTCGAGGTTATAGATTTTGAATGAGACTATAACTTATTCACACTTATTTTAAATTGGGCAAATATACTTTTTAAACCCAAGCATATGTTAACCAAATTTAATATACATTCACTGACTACTGTAAAGTCATTCTGCTGCCATATCAAGGGCACACAGACAGACATTGGACAAAGGTTCTGCCTTCAAAGGGCTTTCATTTTAGTTGTTGTCATACATAGAGGTGAGAACGAGGGAAAATATCCATGAGACCCAGCAGGATTTGAGCTGACATGATATAAAACAGATTAAGAATGAGGTTCACAACTGAGGTGCAGAAAATTCTTGTGTTTTTTTTGGGGGGGAAGGGTGCGGGAAAGAGTCTTACTCTATCGCCCAGGGTGGAGTGCAGTGGCATAATCTTGGCTCACTGCAACCTCTGCCTCCCAGGTTCAAGTGGTTCTCCTGCCTCAGCCTCCTGAGTAGCTGGGATTACAGCTGCACGCCACCATGCCAGGCGTATTTTGTATATTAGTAGAGATGGGGGTTTTGCCATGTTGCCCAGGCTGGTCTCGAACTCCTGAGCTCAGGCAATCCACCTGCCTCAGCCTCCCAAAGTGCTAGGATTACAGGCGTGAGCCACCACGCTGGGTCCAGAAAAATCTTTATGGGAACTAAAGGAGGCAAGACCAAGTTTATCTGCAGTAAGATGTTAACAACATTTCATAAAGGAAGTAGACTCATGAGAAAATATTCTCCAACAGAGTAGTTCCACCAAAATAAACTAGCACTTAATTCACTTGTTAAAGTTACTTTCTTGATTTTAGGATAAAATTAAGTTTTCACCATTATTCACGGTATGAAGTGAGAATAGCCCAGGTATGAGTAAATAGCTAGAGTTGATATTTGATGCTTCAAAATACCCTTCATCATATAAACTGCAATCTTATATCTATTTTTTTAAGCCTGAACCAACAGATGCATCTAGCCTGAATGAGCATTTTAACATATGAGAGAAGTTGAGTCCCGGTGGAGTCCTTACCATGAAAATTTTTGCGAAAGAAGTAGGTCTTTCCTGTCTCTAAACCACAGGCCCTGTAAGAGGTCTTCTAGGAGATGCGGTAAGAATTCCACAAGTGTATGAAATCTACTATCATCTTTGCTCCATGGTTACTAACAGCATTTGTACTTATGTGAGCTGTGAAAATTAGTTAAAGGCGGCTTCTAAGTATTTATACAACTACTTGGAAAAGAGAGGTCGACTGTGTTAGGTTCTACCTGAAATCATCTAGCACAGTGTGTTTCACTTATTTTTCATTTATTTTACCTTTTTAAGACTACAGAATCACTTGACGAGGCTATAAAATGGCTAGGTCCTAACCCATGCCCTCTGAATCTGAATGTTTAGGGCTACAACTTCAGCTTCAATTTCACTAATACTCAAATCTGTTCTTAGATGTTGTGTAAGATCATTGAACTGTGTATTTTACATTTGAATGACTCCCGTCAAGCTCTTTCTGTCCTCAGATGATCTGGTTTAGAAAGCGTAACATTTATTCTACAAACAGAGTTTAGCTAAGGGAAGTTTTGTACTTCCCTTAGCCAAATTATGTGGATGTAATTCTGATAGGCTATAAAACCAACAGGTGAAGATATATAATTATGAACTTTTATATACGTAACAACATAATTCTAAAACATATGAGTTAAAAACATAATGAATAGGATTTATATATTACCTTTACTTTTAAAATTTATTTTGTTCACAATGTAGCATGTCATCATTTTAAATAATCTAGAATCATCCTAAGTCATCCCATGATTTAAAAATTACACCATAGTTTATGGTCATCATGAGTGATTCAAGCCCTTATTACTGGCTATTTAGGTTTGTAATACTTTCTTACCATAAAAAATGAGAAATATTTTATGAATCTACTTGTATATAACCTTTGTGATATTTACAACTATTCTGTAAGTAAAATTGCCCCATCAAATGTATAAATAAGTGAGAGGGTTTCAAATTGATTTGCAAAACATCCTCTGTAAATGTTACAATTTACACCAAAAATAGCATCCTAGTGTGTGCAGTTCCTCACATGAATAAGAGATATTTCTTAAAAACAATATTAGTCGTTTTTATTTTTATCTCCCATAATTGATTTTCCTAAGATCTTATTGTTCTAGTGAGTTCAGAACTTGTTAATAAGATTGGAAATTTTTCATAGAACGGGTAATTTTGGGGGTGAACTTACATTTGTCTTTGACAGCTTTTGACAGCTTTTATGATGGAGTTTATCTTTCCTCATTGATATGTAATGCATCCAGATGTAACATATATGGTAATCAACTCTCTGTCATATATGTTCAATTATTTTTCCATCTGCTCTTCCTCACAGTTTTGCGTATGTGCATATTTAAAAGGTAAAATTTCAGAAAATTATTTTGTCTTTGAGTCTTGGTAACTTCATTTTGAAAAGAAGTTGAAGATTAAACAGACTTACACAGTTTTGACTGTGTTACCCTCTTCTTTAACATTTCTATAGAAAAAGGCATCAGATTTCCATATCACACTCTGAGATTTTTTTTGGCAACATTCATGGCCCATTCATTTGTTTGGCCTTTCATTTTTCAGCCTCTACTGCCAATGGAATGTTCGCTTTTGATATGTTCTAAATAGGAGAGGAAGGTGAATACAGAAATTTCACTGAAAATACACAGATTCCTTAGTTTTCTCATGACTGTAAAGATGCATCTGTAATGCAGTCCCTGAATCACACCACAGCATTTGGCTTAATATTACAGGGACTCGAATATGCATGTTACACACTAACAAGCACTATGACTCTATGGAGGGTACCTGCGCTTCGAATTTCACAACACTGTGCCTTTTAGTTTATAGTTGTCTCCAAGTCTTATAGCTAATAAGAATCCAGGTGCTCTCAGCTGGGTCTGCAGATGTCGGGAATTAGGACAGACACACAGCGGAACGATTGCTTTCTCTTCCCCCTGGTGTCTGTGACACAGAAGCATCCATCCTCAAGAGAGACCCAAAAAGGTCATCTGGAACAGCAGAGAAGAGAACGCCAAACTACTGACACCAGAATTCCACAAATAGACCACGCTATTGGAAGGGAGTCTGACTTGCTGCAGTTTTAGTGTTAGAATCATTCTTTTTAATGGAATTGACTCACACTTAGAAAGATGTGCTTGATTATACCAGGTGCCGAATGGAAACACTACACATTGACTCCGCTTCCTCTGTCCTTCTATGACCTCTGCCTCCTTTTAACTTTTTTTAGTTATTTTTTATGACATGGAAAAATTACTCAATATACTTAACTTTAGTTATTGCTTTTCAGAGATGTAGAAATTGTAATAATGTTGAAGTTTAAAAATTAATCACATTTTTAAATGAATTGTTTATACGGTTTATTCGGTATTTTTTGGAAATCATTCAGTAGTAGTAAGTGTGGAGTGTATCATCTTTTCATATCATTCCATAATTTGTCATATTAATGTTCATAATGTCTAAATTAAGATTTTAGTTTTCCCCCAAAATATTACTAAGTAAAACTTAGGTCTCATAGGCTGAGCAGCAGGTAAGGTCATAGTTTTCCTGGCCAAGGCAGAAGAGAGAGCCCTGGGTTAGCAAAGCAGCATCCTGTGGGTAGGCCCAGCCCTGTCCAGAAATGTCACGTCACCTGAGTCCTGAACCTAAGCATCGCAGGAAGCAAAACAGCAGGACTGGCTCAAGTAATCTGTAACTTTCTAAAATAGAGATGAAAGTTTAAGGAAAAAAAAGCTATTTTGGCCAAACCACCAGGGAAGCCCATGTTGTCAGTAGGTTGTCTCATTTGCTTATACATGTCTCATGCAGATAACAAAGGTAATAAAGTATCAACTTCATGATTTCACTGTCAGTTTTCTATTGGCAAGCATGCCGAAACACGTAAAGCCTGATCCCATGATTCCCTCATTTTTCTGTTTTCATTCCTCTCTAATGCATAGAATTCCCTAAACATGTGTGAGACATTAGTCATCATGCAGAAAACCTTCCTCTGGAGAAACACACGTGGGTGTCCCCAGCTGCAGTCTTGCTCTGTCTCCATCAACCTCAGCGAGAAACAAGTACAGACTAATAAGACTTCCCTTTCATCTTTGGCTCCAGTCTGGTGCTTTTAAAACATATTTGGAAATAGCCCTAATACACATTTTGAAATAAGAACTAATCATCATTGTGTAGATCACCCTTTCCCCGAATTCCTGGGTTTTATTACCTATACTTAAAAGAAAATAATTATAGAAATAAGTGCTTATGCACAAATATACTAGAAAATGATCCAGTATCTAATAAGTTGAAAATGTATGCAAATTTATATTTTAAAATTTTATTGGAAATCAAACTTGAAGCTTTTCATTTGTTCAGGAGCACAAAAAGGCAGAGGAATCCTCTTAGCCTGGGCAGGGGTGGATTCACTTGTCTCTCTTGGGGACCATGGGGGACATCACTCTCATTAGATCTTAGCAGTTATTGGGAAGGTATAAGGCACACTTTGCTCATTCTATTTCTAAGCTTAAATAAGTGTGCCATTAAGCTTAAATAATTTTGCCACCTGATTCCCATAAGTGGGAGGCAAACACAGTGACCTATCTTTACTTTTAAACTCAGTAGAAAGTATTGCAAGAAAAATTTCCAAAGATAAGATATCCAGAAAGAGGCTCAATACCAGTAAATTGTATATTACTGAGTGTGGCATCACTAATTACATTTGAGGAAGAAGAAGATACTATTCACCTATTTTTCAACTTAGATTTTATCTTCAGATCTTTATGAGATCTGAAATTGAACTCAAAGGACAGGATGTTAAGAAATTTCTCTTAGGATAAACAGCAGTTTCTAGCTCTTATCAGGGAAATAGAACAGACAAAAACAAACCAAAAACAATGAGGCTCACACAATAAATCTTTTCCCATGTTTTTGGCTGGTGCATCCACTCAAACTCCATCTCTAAAGTGATGGGCTATAAAACACTTAATGAGTGTGAGGAAAGGGTGGGTTTTTAAAGCTCCCAGCTAAATTGGGGTTTTAGTATCAAAGCAGCTAGCAATCTTGCCCTAACAAATGCACAGGAGCTGGATGTGGGAATATACAGGGTGCCTTCATGGGGTACTTCTTTTACCTGGTAGACAGCCTAATGTCTAGTGGTCCCACCCATTACCAGGGGATCTCTTAGACAGGAAACTTGTTTAGACTGGCAGACACTCTTGTGGCTCTTGTCTGACCTGGGTCCAGAGTAAGCCTGCCTGACCTTTCCTCTGCACTGGGAGACTGACCTTGTGTTCTCCCCTTCCCAGGGAACCCTTGGCCTGGGGCATCCCCTTCGAATGGAAGGTGGAAATTCAATACACCACCACAATAGGAAACGTGCTCACAGATTTTACTAAGAGGCCCTAGTCCAGGAGGGCTCTGTGAGTGGGGAGGGCAGTCCTTTGCCCCCAGGTTAGGGGAGGCAGGAGTGGAGAATCAGGCAGAGAGAGAGAGAGAGAGAGAGAGAGAGAGAGAGGCAAATAGCAGCATATACAAGGGAAAAGGATGTGGGACACTTTTAAGTTCATGAGCAAATGCCCAAATGGTCCCATTAAGGGAGGCTTTGGGAAAGTGGGGTGCCCAGTCTGCTAGACAGGAGAGATGCCTCTAAGTGTTTATTTATGAGCACCGGCTTGAGCCATGTGGTGTAGTATAGAAATGGAATATGTGTCAAGGGTGATAGAGCCCTGCTTCTGGTATGAGAAAGTCAAACCTGCACTCAAAATCAATGCTGAAGAAACATAAAATTATAAGAATTCACCAGAGTATGTCTTTCTTATCATCAACCAAGAGGAGATTTGGGAAACTGCATTACACTCGATCAGAGTTGGGAAAACAATAATCAGAGATACGTATTTGAAGAAACTATTCTGGGTACCTGGAACTCCCTGCAGAAAAAACGGAAGGAAAACAAAAGACACTCTAAAAATATTTACAAAACTTGTCATTATGTTATTTGTATAAGATTTTATGTGCAATGAATAAAATATATATTCTCCTGACTTACTAATAAGCCCCTTCCTGTCTCTGCACATCCCATCTGCTGGTACAACCTCAGGGAAAAGGGAAGGAAAAGGGGCAGGCCTGGAAGGAGACCCAGGAGATTACAGGGAAGATGGGAGGAGGGACAGGGAGGCAGACAGAGGGAGGGTCAGCCAGCAAGGTGACAGCAAGGACAAATGCCCGCTCTGGGCTGGATCATCTTAAGGGAGATACAGAATCAGAGGGGTAATTATAGGGCATCCTGTCAGAGACTCTAGGGAGGGATCTCGTCACATTTCTCTGCAATAACTCAGAGGAGCAAAAATAGAGACTGAGAGTAACCACAAGCTACACTTGCATTTGGTATTTGGTGGAGAAGAACCAAAAGGCCTATACGTTGCATTGAAAGGGGATGACAGCATGGCTCAAAAGTGAGCCTGAGGAGTGTCAGTGGAAGGAACAAAATGACTCCGACAACAAAAGCATCAGGATGGGCCATTATAGCCCAAGCTAAGATCCAGGCAGTCAGCAGCCCAGAAAGGGGGCTGTGGAGCAGAGACGCACAAAGGAGCAGCCCTGTCTGTCTCTGGCACAGAAAACACAGTCCTCAGAGCTCTTCACAGGGCAGCAGAACTGGTTTTCTAGAGAAACCTTGAAACCATTAAAAGCCAACCCAAAGAAACTCTTTGCTTAAGCTAAGTGATTTATACCTATGTGATGAGAGGCTAGACAGATATTAAAATCGAGGAGCTGGAAAATACTTATGAACAAATAAAAAGGCAGTAACCAGATTTTAATTCATAGCTAGTATGTATGTATATGCAAATAAAGATCATTAAAGAAATACACCAAAATATTTATGAAGCTTATTGTTGGGAGATGGGATTATAGATTTTTCCTTGAGAAATTTGTGGTTTTTTTCAGGAGTTCTGCACTAAACATGCATATTAGTCAGGCTAAGTTATGTCATGGCAAGAAGACTAGAATCTGTGTGGCTTAGTACAAAGACAGTTTACTCTCCTCGTGTGAGTAAGGCTTGCAGTGTGCATCAGCAGCAGACGCTTACCTCATGGTTTCTAAGACAGGACAGCTGGGACATGGCAACGTGGACTGTGGCTCTTTCTGGTTCCATCTCCCATTTTCTTAGTGGAGGCTGGTCACAGGCCCCCACCTGAAGTCACAAACTGCCTGGAAAAAGCAAAGCACTGGCTGCCACAGAGCAGCATGAATCATTTCTTCAGCATCAATTTATTTTTAAGTAAAAATAAAATTAAATAAAATTTTTAAAATTTGATTTGTAGAAGAATTTTCCCAGCCAAAATTTCTCTAATGCCATAAAAACTTGAAAATATCATAAATTTTAAATAATACATAAAAACATTTTCAAACATTCAGTAAGTAAAGATAGAAAATCAAAATTATACTTTGGAATATTTTAGAATATGACTAAGGTTTTCTTTTCCCTCAGTCTCCATGAGTTATATTCCAATGTATTCTCTTTTTTTTCCTTCTACTGTAATTGTCCAGGTTTTATTTCCATAAATACATTGTTGATGTGGGTCTCTGCTCAAGCCTTCAATATCTATATGTCAGTTTGTCTGTCATCATTTTCGATGGTTTTAATTTTCCTCTGCTTTCTTAGAGGAACTGAAGTTTGGGATCTATTCAAGTGTTAACATTTTCCACATCAAATATCTATGTATTCTATCTCCAGTGAGGTTTTGATCTTGCTCATTAACGTTTCTGCTTCCATGTAACCTATGCTATTTTAATCCAGACCTCTTTAACCTGAGCTTTCAGTCCTGCCTCCTGTCTGATTTTCATTCATTGTACTACACTTTCTTTTCATCCAAACTTATTCTCTTCTTAGCATTTTGAGGTCTTATTCCAAGGGGCCATGCCTTCTTCTATTCTATTAAGGAAGTCAAACAGCTTGCTGAAATTATTTTATGATGCCTTGCTTTACAATGTTCTCGGAGATGCGCTTTTCTTTACAGCAATGACAAAAGTACTCTCTTCACTTTCTTCTGCAGTATTTTGTTTCATACATTTCAAGATTATTGTTCTCTCATTACATTTATCAGGAAATAGATATCAAAGCAGACACTGGAATTGCCCTCCAAACCCTGTGGATTCCCCACAACTGTTCATTTTCTGCCTATGTCATGGATGGAGGTCCTTTCTGGTCCCCTGCAGAAGCCTGGTTGCATTGCTAGGGTGCAGCCCAACCCTTAAGCTGGAGCCCAGCCATGCCCCTGATGCCCAACCAGTGAGAATGCTAATATTGAGGCTGCATGGAAGCCCTTACCTGGTGTCTCCCCTCACCACCTGCTAGCATGGGGATTTCTAATGGGAAACACCCCTCCCTGCACCACTCTCTTCATGTATCTCACAAATGCCTCTACCTAAATTTGTGGTCTGTTTTCCACAAGGATACTCCCTACTATGGCTGTGAAAGAGGCCTCAGGGGTGAAGCAGTGTTCTAAATGATCAGATTATGGTGCTCATATCATAGAGAAGTTTTGAGGCTAACTACTAACAGACCAAGAAGTGTCGTCTTATCTTCTCTTCGTTAGTTGGAACTCCTCTGATAAGATTTTAAAGAAAATTTGCACTTTTTGTGACATTAAATTAATTTAAATAGCTAAGCTATTGATTTCAACCTTCTGTAGAATAATTTGATTTCAACACATCATCCCTAATTTTAATCTAAGATTTGTGAAACATATTTTTCTAACATAAATTAAATTATTTTTAACTGCACTATCTTTGCTTTAATAAAAATGTGTAAAAGAAACGCCTATTTTAAGTTAAGCTCAAAAGTCGACATTCTGTTTTGCTGATGATGAATTATGAGATGAGATATTTTAGTGGTTTAATATATATTATAACCTCCATGCTATTTATCTTCATTTTATTCTATAACTTTATCAAGGACAAAATATAGCTATCTCAGTATATACTTGGTGCAAAATGTTTTATTTGTTTAATATTAATTGAGTTATTTCCAAGGGGTTGACATGCTTCAGGAGCTCTTTCTGACCCATGCTGAGAGCAAACCAAACACTGAAAAATGGCTAAAATGCTGGAAGAAGTGGGGAGAAAAAAAAACCTTGCTATTACTAAAAAAAGACTGCAGATGAAAATGAAGCCTAAATGGTTAAGAGTCTGTCGACAAGGGTTCCAGTCCAGTCCTTCCTTGCCATAAGGTGTGAGCTCAGGAAAATATTTTTTCATTACTGGCTCCATGTGGAATCTCTTCCATCATTGCACAGTTGTGTCAACCATTGTAAAGATGCACCAGGCTGGAAGCTCCTCGAGCAGTGGCAATGCCCCCAGTAATGTCACTAAGTTGATATGTGGAGGACACTACTGCCCTTCTGAGGAGATACCACTGTGTTTCCCTCACCATGACACTGCATCCAGTTCCTGCCCCCAGCACAGCTCTGCTGTCCTGGGATGCTCGCTGTTCCTGAAGCCCCTGCTGCGTCCCCGAACACCACCAACCGTGGCCACCAGCCACCACGAAGGAGAGGGCTCTGGGTTATTCCTGTCCAGGTATCACCAGCTCCATTGTAAAGTCCAGAGTGTGTGGTCTCAAGGGCTGAGAAGCCAGTTGCAAGGAGGTCTGGGAAGCAAGGCCTGATTTCCCACCAAGGTTCAGGAGGCAAAACAGGGTGAGCCTCAGAAAGAAGGACAAAGTTCCACTTGTAACGAGAAGCAGGTGGAATCAGGACTCGCCCTGGTTGGTTTGCTTTGCAGCTAGATACATGGATTGCCTTTGTCCCATTGGGAGGAGGTGTGCTTGAACAGAGCCTCAGGCAGGCATCCTCCTGCTGGCCTGTGGGGCGGCAACTTCCTCATATGCCCCATGGATTTTATGAACTAGTCACATGACTTTACCAGTGATTGATGTACATAAGTCCAGATTGTCTGTAACTAAGCATTCTGCCTGTGCAATGTGACCATCACAGCAACCCCATCAAAAAAGATCAATAGGGTACTGATGTCTTCCTCTTGGAGCAGAAAGCCTCCAACCAGACTGAAGCCCAAACAGGTCTCTTTATGGGGTGCTAAGAGGCTGGGACTTGGTGTCTCCACTGCCCTTCTGCCTGGAAATTCCAGCTTGAGCCCTGTGTCTCCTGCATTCTCGGTACCCTATAGCATGATTGCCCAATTTCCAGACATACACACACGTCCTCATTCACTGATGAACACTTAACCGAAGCTTCCTCCCATATGCTCCACATGCCATGGGTCTTTTCAAAACGTATACAAATCAATGAAATTATTAAAAATTAACATCAGGAAAAGATTCAAAGAGCTCGCCCATAAAAAATTTCATCAATCTTGTTCTGTAAACTTAAGAAATCACTAAAAGACTAAAATCCAGGAAATATTTTGAAACAGTGCAGCCACCCAAAGCCACATGGTCTTTGAATAGAAACATTAAAGTTGAAAAGTTGCAGAGGAAGTTTAGTAACAAGTATTCTACCCAGAATATAGTAGTGGAACATCTAAACATTGCAGCATTAGGAAAAAATGATGTCTTTATTACTATTCAGATAGAATAAGTCAGTTCTAAAAAATTAAATGGATAAGAGAAAGGAAATAGAAACCAACAGAAAGGGCATGTGGTGTCTTCTGGTGCAATCCTCCCAGCTCAAAAGGAGGGAAGGACCCAGAGGTCTTCACTGCAGGGCTCAGGGTCTTGCAGGGAGGGGTATTTCCTCCTTGCAAGGGCAACGGAGACTCTGGTTTTCATTTGTAAATGGAAAAAGCTTGGGGTCTCACTCCTATCCTTACATGAAAAAGCAGGACAACCTGAAAAGCAATGACTTTTCTTGAACTCAGTAGAGAACTGAGATGCAAAGCAAAATGCTACCCCAAAATCTGGAGGGACAGGTGTACCCAGAGAGACACAGTGGTGAGCTGCAGCCCTGGAGTACAGGCTGCTGGAGCACACACTGGTAGAAAGGCTTAAATGTTGATTTTGATAAATTGCTGAAAATGAATGTGAACTAGCTAGAGGATGAGAAACTTGTGGAAATGGAAAGTCTTCACCTCCAGGAACCTCACCAGGTTTTCACAGTGAATATATGAGAAAGCTATCTTTATGTCTCTAGCAGAGGAGGGCGAGAGGAATCATTGTAAAACATGCCTACACCCTTCTCCTTAATAGAGGCTTAATTTTCCTAGAAAAGACTACCAGAATCTTATCCCAGCTCGGGGAAGGGTGTTCTGTCCCCTCTAGCTCCCTCTCACTTCTGTATCACCTGACAGAAAGAACTGTCAACAGGGAGCAGACTTCAGGGACATAGACGGGGAATGCTGCAGCCAAGGAAGGGAGGAGGGGTGGGGATAAGGTGGGAAGCTACATCTGCAGACAGACCCCTGGGAGGTCACAGGCCCAAAACACAGGCTGTCACCAACACCAAGATTTAATTAGAGGATTACAGATGCTCTCCCTCCCCAACCTTCCCACCACACCACCAGGACTCCAAGGGAACTACCATGGAGGACAACTGAAGGAGCTGCAAGACACCCACCCTGGGAGAGGCAGAGCCAATGAACACACCAAACAGAAACAAAAACAAATAGAAAACCAGATCATTAGAGAATGTTAAGCCCCCAGCACCCATAGCTACAGCAAACTTTAAGCACTGCCCAATTTCCAGACAGAGTAACATGAATTCTCACACTAAAGGTCACTTACCTTAGTTCCTTTTATCTAGTAAAACATGTCTGGCTAACAACAACAACAACAAGAACAAAACAACAACAACAAAGAGGTGTGTCAAACACCAAGGAAAACAAAGAGAAGACAATGCAGTGATCAGAACCAGACTGAGATATGATGTGGATGCTGGAAGGAGCAAACAATATTTAAAATAATTAGAATTAATAGTTTAAGGGCTCTTACAGAAACAGTAGACAGTACACAGGGACAGATGCATAACAGAAGCAGAGATGGAAACTAACAAAGGATCAAAAGGCAATGTGAACAATTAAAAACATTGCAACAAAATGAAGGGGGTCTGTCATGGGCTCATCAGTAGAATGGAGTAGCTGAAGAAAAAAAATTATAAAACTTGAAGCTATGTCAGTAGAATGTCCCCACACTGAAATGCAAAGAGAAAAACAAATGAAAACCAAGCAAACACATGGCATGCAAGAACCAGCGAGCTGTTCCAAAGAGTTTATCACATGTGTAACCGAAACACCGGAAGGCAGGTCAGAGCTGGAAAAATATTTGAAAGTAATAATGTTCAAGAATATTCCAAAATTAATTACAGACACCAAATCAGAGATCCAGGAAGCTCAGAGAACTCCAAGAAGAATAAATACCAACACACACACACACATGCATGCCTGCACACATGCACGCACACACACACAGACATAAACTGCAGAAAACAAAATAATTGGAACATGTTAAAAGAAGGAAAAGTAAAATGAACACCTATCTATAAAGCAAAATGGGTAACAATTTCAGCAGACATCTCATCAGGAACCAAACAGGCAAGAAGAGAGTGGAATATGTTAGGTGCTGAAATAAAAATCACCCATCAACGTCTAATTCTATATCCAGTGAAATTATCCTTCCAAAGTAAAGGGGTGCATTTTGAGAGGCTGAGGCGAAAAGATCACTCGAGCCTAAGAGTTTGAGATCAGACTGCACAATATAGAGAGACCCCACCCCATCTCTACAATAATTTTAAAAATTATCCAGGTGTAATCGTGCACACTTATAAATCCCAGCTACTGAGGAAGCTGAGGCAGGAGGATCCCTCGAGCTTGGGAGGTCGAGGCTGCAGTGAACTATGACGGTGCCACAGCACTCCAGCCTGGGCAACAGTGTGAGATTCTGTCTTAAAAAAAAAATAAATGAGCAATAAATATCTTGTTAGATGAAAAAATTAATTGATGATATACCCAAACTCTTTCTTGCAATCACTCAGTTCTGAATTTTATGAAGTTTGCAATTATCATTATTCTATATGCTACATATGAACACCTTATCTATCTTTCCAACTTTGTATCTTCATCCAGCTAGTTATCTATTTAGTATCTCTTTATTTATCCACATGCTTAACTGTCTGTCCAACTAGCTCTCCATCTTTTCTTCTTTCTTCTCCAAACATTACCTATTCCGGAGAATTATAGAGGGGGGAGAGCTCAGAAGATAGGAGAATGGAGCATGTGTAAGTTTTATAATTATTATTTAAGAAAACTTAAAAAGTTTTCAACTCACCTAATAGGAATTTGTTATTATAATAATATAATACTGATTTATACTGTTGACCCTAGAACAACAGAGGCTTGAACTACTGGGGCTCACTTTTGTGCAGGTTTCCTCCGCCTCTGCCACCACTGAGACAGCAAAACCAACTCCTCCTCTGCCTCCTACTCCTCAGCCTACTCAATATGAAGACAAGGAGAATGTTGGCCTTTATGATGATTGACTTTCACTTAATGACTAGTCAAATGTATTTTCTGTTCCTTATGATTTTTTAAATAACTTTTTTCTCTAGCTTACTTTATTCTAAGAATACAGTATTTAATACACAAAATACATGTTAATCAACTGTTTATGTTATCAGTGAGGTTTACAATCAACAGTAGTCTATTGATAGTTATTTTGGGGGAGTCAAAAGTTATACAATGCTTGACTTTGCAAAAGGACAGTGCCCCTAACTCCTGCATTGTTCGAGGGTCAACTATAACTATGTATAATAATAAATATAATACCAGTAATATAGTAAAACACAAATAGGATAGTTTGCCATTTCTTCTCAATTTGGAAGTGTAACATACACATAAGAGATTATGTGTAAATTCATGCAAAGCTGAAGGAATGGAGAGTTTGCATTTTTACTGTAGCTGTTTTATGGAGAAGTGGGACAGCTTCCATTCTGACACCTCTTACTGAGGCCCCCTGTGATAAATTCTCTCTGGCCTCCATTTCTCCACTTCCACTGGGCCTATCAAACCTAGCTCTGGGGATGCCAGAGATCTTCAGATACATTCACAGAAAATGGATATTTCACTCTGCACTAGAAACATTTCAGCTCATGTTGTAATAGTGGCTGTCTCATAAAGACCTAGTCCAACTCAAAATGTATTTCCTTAATAACCTTTAAATAAGAGTATTTTCAGTTGCACAGATATGCTTGTTAGAAAATACGTTTCCAGATTTTTCAGAAGATGAATTTCTGAAGAGAAAATTATATAAAGATACCTTTGGTAATAGGTAAAAAAGAGAATCACCGATAGACTATACAAATCTATAAGAAGGCTTGCACTTCCATAATTCTAAGCTTGTACAATAGATTTCTTTTTAAGGCTATAGTAAATTGTATTCTGAATATCCTTGTACACCTAAAAAAGCATTATTTTCCAAGCAGGTGCTATAATGTCTTGCTGAGTCAGAGACAGGAATTGTGCATGATGTAATGTCTTTCCAAATCTATTGGGAGTTGATGATCACTAAGATAAGACATAGCTTCCAAGGTTCTTCAATATCTGGTTGTTTTCTGCAACAACATTTTATTTACTCATTTAAGAACAGCATGTGATTTTTTTTTTTTTTTTTTTTTTTTTGCTCTCTCTCTATGGAACAGAAAGCCATATATTTAGGACTGAGTTTATGAATCAGCAACATAGACATTTCCTAATGGTGTAAATGCATGGTTCAGAATAAGGAATCTGAGTCTCACTTTTCTCCTCATCAAAGCATCTAGCTTTATTATAGCTGCCTAAAAATTCTGTTAGCAGAATAAAGGTACTCATCCCATCACCAAAATTAAATGGGTAAGTCTTAGGGCAATAATGCATTAGCAAAGTGATTCATACCAAAGTGCATAGACAGACATAAATTTCTTCTTCCTATCCACAGGTGTTGATTCAGAGATCATGGAACATCATAAGGTCACTTGAGCACCATCATGGTGTGTGAATGAAAGTAAAGTATAAGAACAAGGATGGCTTTTTGGCCATTGCCAATGTTTATTTCACTATTTTCTGTAGAGTTAATCCTGATTGTAAAGACATTGCCTAATTAAGAAGAACGTGCCCTCTACATATGTAAAAACTGGGTTAAAATATATTTGGTTTTTACAATTCAGCAAAGGGAAAATTTCATTTTTAATAATGATTATTCAAATGTATTAAAGGTCTACAGCTATAAAATATTTTGCCATATTCAATAGCAATATTCAAGTTCATTAAAGATCCATAGTTATAAGGATTTATTGGATGCTGATATTTGAACATCATTGAAGGGATTGTGAAATACTAATAAAGGGAAGATCCCAAACTAAAAATCAGCGTCTCCATAATCCCAATCCAAGGCCTTTACTTTACTATTTGATACAGTTCATTTTTGTCAGGCAACACAGCTATACATTTTAATTGAAATTTTAAAATGACAGACTTGATCAATAAAAATTCCCTGTGGTGACAATAGTTTTTAAATCTAATCATGATAGAAGAACTATGTGATTACAGACACTGGCCAAAATAAATAAGTGCTATCCACTGAATAGGATGCTTTTCTTCCTTATTTAAATCTGCTGGAAGACCTGCTTACTCAACAAGCTAAATTGATTATTAGCTTAGAAAACTTGCTTTCCCAAGGGTATATGCTACCTGTAATGGCGATTCAGACACATATTCAGTACACAAATTAATCATTTCCTCAATTGAGTACAGCTAATCCAAAATGTTTAAAGGTATATATGATAAGAGCTGAATAGATTGGGCACCAAGTTACTCTCATACACCAGTGACTTCAGCTATTATATCTGAAACATTCACTCTTCAGCACAAAGCAACCAAGAGAGCAGGGAAATTGCCAGAAAAATCAGGGTTAACCTCATCTTTGGATAATACTCACTTGCTATGTTTGTCAGTTTAAAATTTACTACTGAAGGTATCTATGGTGTCAAGAATTACAAGAATCTCAAAAAGAGTTCATCATTTACTCTTTCATTAGATGGTATATTAGTCAGGGATTTCCAGGGGGACAGAACTAATAGAAAAAATATATATATATGTAAATATATATAATACTAAATAAACTCAATATATATACAGAATAAAAATATATATAAAATATATATATAAAATGCTACTCAATAAACTCTCTTCATATATATATATATATATATATATATATTTTTTTTACTATACTAATACTCTTGTGAGTATTAATTCACATGATCACAAGGTCCCACAGGAGGCTGTCTCCAAGCTGAAGAGCAAGGAAGCCAGTCCGAGTTCCAAAGCTGAAGAACTTGGAGTTCGATGAGTGGATGTTTGAGGGCAGAAAGTATCTAGCTTGGGGGAAAGATGTAGGCTGGGAGGCTAAGCCAGTCCAGCCTTTTCATGTTTGTCTACCTGCTTTATATCCTGGCCACACTGGCAGCTGATTATATGGTGTCCACCTAGATTAAGGATATGTCTGCTTTCCCAACCCACTGACTCAAATATGAATCTCCTTTGGCAACACCCTCACAGACACAACCATGATCAATAATTTGCATGCTTCAATGCAATCAAGTTGACGCTCAGTATTAACCATCACAAGTCCACCCCTCGTCAAATTGAACCCATACACATCCCCTGAGATTATACATAATCTTCAAATAAAGACAATAATAAGGTCATAATTTTGCCTAACATAATACAACTATCCTTCTTAGAACCGGAAATGCACTAATCCCCAACCCAAATACTATTACATAAAGTTAACAATACTTAAGTGCTGATATGAAATTAATAAATGTTATGTCACATGATAAAGGAAAAAGAAAACAAAATGAAGATATTTTCTTAGTACAAGTGTAAACATGCACAAACCTGCTTTTAATGAAAGAAAGAGGAAATACTCATAACAATCACAGTCCTTGTTTCTGCAGCTTGTCACGTGGTCATAGCTGGTATTGATGACTACCTTCTTCTGCTACCCATTCTGTATTCCTTTTGACTTTAGCAAGCACCTCAGCAGGTAGTGTTTTTTTCCTGGTAGAGTGACACAAACCTTCATTCCTGAAGGGTCTGGACCATTTGTAGTCCTGCCTAGATTGGGCTGTTGTAGGTTCCCATTGACCTTAATCACAGGGCATGGAAATACTAAGAGACGCCCTAATGGATCTCCTGTATTCCATGCGTACTCTTCCTTACCTCTGTTGTGGAAAAGTAGACTGATTTCATCTCGATAGTGCAGGTAAATCCCACCAGCAAACACTGTAACTCCCTTCTTAGCCTGTTGACTTAAAGGTAGGAGGAGCCCAAAGTGTCCAAGTGGCAATCTTAACTTCCAGTCTAATGAAACCACTGTTGTGTCTCCTGGTGGCAGCATTCCTCCCTCTAGGCCAGCAGAACATAATATCACAGAAACAAGAAGCAAAAATTTTGCTAGTGGATCACCACGGGTGATGGTGAGTGGTGCCACTTCCACTTCCACCCCTTGATGCCTAGACCCAAGAATCCTGGCTGTGAGAGAAACAATACCATATATTGGATGCTAATTCAGAGCATACACAGATTTCTGGAGAACTTTGCCCCAGTCCTGCAAAGTATTGTCACCGAGATGGCACTGTAAATGTGACTTCAAAAGGCCATTCCACCATTCTATCAATTCAGCTGCTTGAGGATGATGAGGAACATGGTAAGACCAGTGAATTCTATAAGCAGGAGCCCACTGCCGCACTTCTTTAGCTGTAAAGTGATTCCTTGGTCAGAGGTAATGCTGTGTGAAATACCATGAGAATGGATAAGGTATTCTGTGAGTCCGCGCATGGTAGGCTTGGCAGAAGCATGTGTGCAGGATAGGCAAACCCATGTCCATCTTAAGTGTCTATTCCAGTGAGGACAAACCTCTACCCTTTCCATTATGGAAGAGGTCCAATATAATCAACCTGTCACCAAGAAACTGGCTGATTACCCCAAGGAATGGTGCCATATTGAGGGCTCAGTGTTGTTCTCTGCTGCTGGCAAACTGGGCACTCAGCAGTGGCCATAGCCAGGTCAGCCTTGGTGAGTGGAAATCCATGTTGCTGAACCTATGTGTAACTTTTATCCCTGCTACCATAGCCACTTTGTTCATGGGCCCATTGGACAATGACAAAGGTGTGTGGGGAAAGAGGCTGAGTTGTGTCCACAGAACAAGTCATCCTATCCACTTGATTATTAAAATCCTCCTCTGCTGAGCTCACCAGTTGGTGAGCACTCACATGGGATACAAATGTCTTTACAGTTTTTGACCACTCGGAGAAGTTCATCCACATACCTCTTTTCCAAATTTCTTTGTCACCAATTTTCCAATCATGCTTCTTCCAAGTCCCTTACCATCCAGCCAAACCATTGGCTACAGTCCATAAATCATTGTATAATCACACATCTGGCCATTTCTCCTTCCATGCAAAGGGCACAACCAGGGGCACTGCTCAACCTTCTGCCCACTGGGAAGATTTGTATTCACCACTGTCCTTCAGGGATGTCCAAGAAAGGCGTAGTGCTGCAGCTGTCCACTTTCAAGTGGTGCCTGCATATCGTGCAGAACCATCTGTGAACCAGCACCTAATCTTCTTGTTCCTCTCTCAACTGATCATAGGGAACTCCGCATGAGGCCATCGGTGCAGACTGAGGGAGAGAAGGCAGGGTGGCAGGAGTGGGGACCATGGACATTTGAGTCACTTCCTTATGTTACTTACTTGTGCCTTCAGGACTTGCTCAAGCCCAACCATGTGTATACCACTTCCATTTGATGATTTGATGATGGAATGCTGCTGTGCATGACCTACTTTATGGCTAGATGGGTCAGAAAGCACCCAGATCCTGATAGACAGTTCAGGTCACACGGTGGCTTGATGACATATTGTCAAACATTCAGTTTCCACCAAAGCCCAGTAATAGGCAAAGAACTGTCTTTCAGAAGGAGAGTAGCTATCTAAAGAAGATGGCAGGGCCTTGCTCGAAAATCCCAGAGTCTTCTGCTGTGATTCACCTATGGGGGTCTGCAAAAGGCTCCAACAGCATCCCTATCCACCACTAGCACCTCAAGCATCATTGGATCTGCTGGCTCATAAAGCCTAAGTGGCAGAGCAGCCTGGACCTGTTGCAGAGTCTTATCCTGTTCTGGACCCCACTCAAAACTGGCAGCCTTTCAGGTCACTCAATAAATGGGCTGGAGTAACACACCCAAATGAGGAATGTGTTGCCTCCAAAATCCAAATAGGTCCACTAGGCATTGTGCCTCTTTCTTGATTGTAGGAGGGGCCAAATGCAGCAACTTATCCTTCACCTTAGAAGGAATATCTCAACAGGCCCCATACCACTGAACCCCTAGAAATTTTACTGAGGTAGAAGGTCCCTGAATTTTAGTCAGATTTATTTCCCATCCTCTGGCACACAAATGTCTCACCAATAATTCCAATGTGTTTGCTACTTCTTGCTCACTGGATCCAATCAGCATAATGTCATCAATGTAACAGACCAGTGTGATTTCTTGTGGAAGCAAAAAACAATCAAGATCTCTCTGAGTAAGATTGTGACACAAAGCCGGAGAGTTGATATACCCCTAAGGTAGGACAGTAAAGGTATATTACTGGCCTCGCCAGTTGAAGGCAAATTGCTTCTGGTGGGACTTATGGACAGGAATGGATAAAAAGGCATTTGCCAAGTCAATGGCTGCATACCAGGTACCAAGAGATGTGTTAATTTGCTCAAGCAATGAAACTACATCTGGTACAGCGGCTGCAATTGGAGTCACCACTTGGATAAGCTTACAATAATCCACTGTTATTCTCCAAGATCCATCTGTCTTCTGCACAGGCCAGATAGGAGAGATGAATGGGAATGTCGTGGGAATCATTGCCCCTGCATCTTTCAAGTCCTTGATGGTGGCACTAATCTCTGCAATCCCTCCAGGAATGCAATAATGGTTTAGATTTACTATTTTTCTGGGTAGAGGCAGCCCCAATGGCTTCCAATGGGCCTTTCTCACCATAATAGCCCTCACCCTACCAGTCAGGGAGCCAATGTGGGGGTTCTGTCAGCTGCTAAGTCTGTCTATGCCGATTATGCATTCTGGCACTGGGGAAATGACCACAGGATGAGTTCAGGGATCCACAGGACCCACTGTAAGTCAGGCCTGGGCTAAAACTTCATTAATTACCTGACCTCCATAAACCGCTATGTTAACTGGAAGAACACAATTACATTTTGGGTCCCCTGGAATCAACATCAGCTCAGAGCCAATGGCCAGTAGTCCCTGAAATGTCTGATCATTTCCCTGTTCCCTATGAAGAGTTAGCCTGGTAAAAGGCTGGAGGTCTCCTTGGGGAAGGATGGGACAAAGACTCACTGCATAAATTGTTGGTAAGGTAACAGGATCCTTCCTCAAGGGGACCTGGTCTCCCCTTCATTCAAGGGGTTCTGGGTCTGTAAACTGGCTCAAGTCCGGAAATTGACTGAGGGGCTGTGATTCTGTTTTTATAATTCAAATCAATCATTTGTCCACTCGACCTGGAAGTTTTCTGCTTATATAAATTAGGTAGGAATGCAGTCGGCTTCCTATCAAATTCACTTCTAGAAACACTGTAATTAGCAAATGCCAGAGCTCTACACAAGTCAGACTATTCTGATTGCTGCTTTGCCTCTGCTGTTCATTATAGTAGCTATGCCCACCTTTCCTTTGATGGTTGAGTGCTGCCACTTGGCCCCTGCCACCTCGGGATCCAATTATTCCCATTGTATTTAAATTTCATAGTTGAGTGACTGCAGTTCCCACTGTTAGATTTGATATACAGAGAAGAGCAATTACAGGGCTCTTCAAAGATATAGGTGCTGCCCTCACAAATCTATTTTGCAAAGCATTGGTCAAGGATATATCTTCTGGTCCCTCCCAGCTGAGATGAGTAGGTCTAAGGTGACATCCACTCCACCATCCCAATCTCCCTAGGCCTTTGGATCCCTTCCTTTACATTAAACCAAGGATAATCAGGCATTTCCAACTCACTCACAGTGGACCATCTTTCAATCCATATTTCAGCTAACCAAGCAACTAAACTATTAGAACATTTTTTAACTCCCTGAGCTGCAACACTAAATGCAGAATCCCTACTTAGTGGGCCCAAATCAAACAATTTAGCCTGATCCAACTCTATATTCCTTCTACCATTATCCCATACCCTTAATATCCATTACCATGCCTCTTCTCCAGATTTCTGCTTATATAAATTAGAAAACTCAAGCAGTTCTTCTCAAGTGTAGCACACCTCCTCATGGGTCATACTCTTAACCTCACCTCTAGGGGCCCACTGGGACTTTAGTCTAGTTATAGGTCTAGAAACAAACAGGGGCATTGGGGTGTTGGGGTGGCTTCAGAGGAGAATCGACATTATCTTCCCCAGCAACTGCCTCAGGGGAGGCCATCAATGTTGCCTGAGGTAGCACAGGGTTTATCTCCTCAGACAAAGGTGGAAAGGCTGATGGGAGCATAGGTTGGGGAGGGGATGTTGCCACTACTGGGAATGGGGAAGCTGTTCCTTCTGTCAAAAAGTTTCATCAGAGTTTACAAGCTCAGTGTTCCCAACTTCATCAGGGTCCTCCCACTCCCCATTCTGAGTTGCAGGATCCCATTCTTTTCCAATCAATGCCCTCACTTTAACAGTAGACACTTGGCAAGGCAGTGCATAAACCTTTCATTGCAGGTCAGCCACTGCATGATAAGAGCTTGTGTCTGTTTGTCCACAATTTCGGCTCTTTCTTTACAGAAAATAAGACTCTCACTTAGGGCAATCTTAGCAGATTTGAGGCTCAGTATCTGCTTCCAAAGTTGGGAGTTTGAATCTCTGAGTTCATCATTTTCTTTCATCATTTTGTCCAGTGAACTTAGGAGCAACCAACAAACTTCATTATGTTCCTTGGTTATCTAGACATAGTCAAAGTATTATGTATAGAGTCACTAAACTTTTGCCTCTCAATAGTTGTGAATCAGGAGTGTCAAATGCATTTTTTTGGCATCAGTCTCTAAACAGTTCATGCCAAGGACTATCAGTGTTCTCCATACTATTAGAAGTAGAGTCCTTAGCATCTTTGGATCTAATCATATTAAGTAGCCAACTCCAGAAACCCCAAAACCAATGAAAGAACTCCATTCTTAATATTCTGTTCCTCTAGAACCACTCCTGGTACCAAAACCTGTATTAATCAGGGTTCTGTAGAGGCACAGAACTAATAGGTTATACATATACCTATAAAGCGGAATTTATTAAGTAGTATTAACTCGCACGATCACAACATCCTGCAATAGACTATCTGCAAACTTAGGAGCAAGGAAGCCAGTCCGAGTCCCAAAGCGGAAGAACTTAGAGTCTGATGTTTGGATGTTCAAGGGCAGGAAGCATCCAGCACAGGAGAAAGATGTAGGCTGGGAGGCTAAGCCAGTCTACCCTTTTCATGTTTTTCTGCCTGCTTTATATCCTGGCTGCACTGGCAGCTGATTAGATGGTGCCCACCCAGATTAAGGGTGGGTCTGTCTTTCTTTCTCAGCCCACTGACTCAAATGTTAATCTCTTTTGACAACACCCCCACAGACACACCCAGAATCAATACTTTGCATCCTTCAATGCCATCAAGGTGACACTCAGTATTAACTATCCCAGATGCCTCGTTTCACCTGAATTTTACTTCAAGGGCTTCCTTTGTAACTGAAAATACAACCATTTACTCATCCATCAAATTTGTAAATATTTTTACTTACATTGCTTTTAGATTTGTCTTTATTCTTTTTCTTATTTTAAATATAATTTCTTTACTAACTTTCTGCTATTTTATCTGATAATTTTTAAAATATTTTCTTGCAGATGTTGTCAACTCATTATTTATTCTCTGTGTTCCTGACAAGACAGATTTTATAACTAAAGATCAAACAGTCAAACAACAAACATAGAAACAAGCAAAACCAAGTATCAGCAGAGTTTGGGAGTATAACAACTGGAGGGTTTGGAGAACTCTGATGATAGAATTTTTCAGCATGGGTCCAGTTGCATTTGATTTTACACGGACAGACAATTATATTTTAAATTCCATAATCCCTCTTCCTCCTTCCTTTTACACTCTCACAGAAGAAGCAGTGCAGTACCTCCTCCAAGATGAATCAATACCTACACAATACAGTTGTCTTTCTAGGATTTTTATTTGATTCTCATTCATTTAAATGTACACTTTCATTTTTCTGTCCCTCACACATTATATTTTCTTTTTTATTAGTCTTATAAATTTGAAATTTTACCAGCATATGTGAACCATTTTTCATTTTTTATTCTCTCCTGTCATGGGCTTTCACATCAAAAGCTCAGTGTGCTTCTTTCTATGTGGCCATAATATGATGATGATGATGATCATGATGGTGATGATCATGGTGGTGGTGGTGGTGATGATGATGGTGGTTGTGGTGATAATGGAGATGATTGTGGTGGTGGTGATGATAGTGTTGATGATGATGGTTGTGTTGATGGTGGTGTTGGTGATGGTGATGATGATGATGGTGGTGATGGTGGTGGTGGTGATGGTGGTGATGATGATGATGATAGTGGTTGTGGTGAGGATGATAATAATTTCTATCATTCTTTTCTTTCATCTTCTTCTGTACTACTCATAGAAAAATACCTTATTTTCTAGCTTTCATGCCCCAATATGTGTACTTATAGTTTCCATGTCTTGATTATTTTACTGTGTTTAAATCAGTTCTCCTATTTGACCCATTAATTAGTTTGAAAATATATTACATATCAATACTTTTAATTTACAAGACTTTCTTTATACTCTTTATTCATTTTCATCACATTGCAGTTTTTGATAAGGAGACACTGTAATTTAAAATCTATCTGTGAATACTGATTAGAAAAAATATTTTATGATTTTTGTTGAATAAATATTTTTTCAGAGGTCAATTGTCCCATTCATTCACTTGCATTTTCTCTTTCATGCTCTAAATTTACCTGCTGTCTATTGATTCTGGTTTCACATCAGTGACTGGATAGAGTGTGGTGAGGTTTGCATGTTTCCCATGGCTGCGCAAGCCAATGGGATCAGTTCCATCACTGATCTAAAGGACTAGTAACATGATTCCTAGATCTGTCAAGATAACTAATCAGATCCTGTTTTCCAGTACTGAGAACAGGAGGAATAAACTCACAATGAAGTATATTTACTTAGGAAGCATGAAGGTGATAAATGTTTTATTTATCTGTGTATTTTAACATGCTGCAATCATTATAACTATTGGCACCAATGAGTTTTTCTGGTGTGCACCTGAACCATATGAAATGACACTCAGCATATAATAAGACCAGCATATTTACAAAATGAGTACAAATACTCATATATAAGGCTGTTCCTGGAAGAGGATGGTGAAAAATACTGAAGGTCAGATGTGAACCTCATTCAAAAGATCATCCATAACTGAGCTTCCTTTGGTGAGGATTTTGAGACTGGAAATTTATACCACTCTCTGGCCTACCTGTTAGCATCCTCATATCCTATTTGTATTGACTTTCTTTTGTCTACTTGGAATAACAAATAAGGAGAAAACCCCTGTGTCCAGTATTTCCATTAATCTGAGTCTAATGTGGATAGTGGTGGCCAAGGCCTCTCCCTCAATGGGCATCTGGAACTGTGGACCCCAACTGTGGACCCCAGTGGTGGCACCCCAATGGTGCCATCACAGACATCTTTATTTGTGCGTTATTGGAAGAGTGCTGAAAGGCCACTCCTATTTATCAATACTGTTTTCTCATGGACAGTGGCTTGGAGAACAGCTGTGTCCTTTTTGTCCTTACTTTTTTGGTCTTGTTCATATTCTTTACAGTGTTTCAATTTGCCTCATGCTCTATTTCTCTCTGGAGACTCCAACCTACATTAGAGACCCGCTGGATTTAACTGCTGGAATTTGTTTAGAAAACAGTCCATTTAGCTCTACTTTCTGGGGTCAAATACAATACGCAATGAATCCTTATAAATAGGTGGAGGTGTGCGGCATATAGGCCTGGATGTTTCAGAAGTCATCAGTGCATTAGTTTCGTAGTGATTTTCCATGGACATCTGCTGGTCCTTGCAGCTGTTGACTGGGAATTGCAATTTCTCTGGATCTCATGGGTCAGCACCCTCTGTGCAGCAGCAAACTCAGACATCCTCAGGCTTGGATTTGCTCTATTCTAGTCTGTCTGTTGATTTGATAACATCTTTCTTCCTTATTAAAACCCTTGGAAATGCTTGGTTTGCTGGTTGTATCCATTCTTATCTTCCAATAGTTGTATAATGGTCATGAAAAATATTTTCCCTGCTCTCTAAACTCTAGGTAGAAAGAAAAGAGAAGCAAGCATGTTGGCTCAATCTATTATCTTGAGCAGAAAACATGTTTAGACAATTTTAAATTATTCTCTGTATAGAGGTAATTCACCATTGCATTCACTTGGTAGTGATGTGATTATTATTCAGATAATATTTGATTTCTGGGGAATGGATCAAGTTGTGAAATGCAAACGTGTAAGGTGAGATAAGAACTCAAAATAATGTGTTGTCAGAATGCTTCGTGTAAAAGGCAGGGTGGGGTGACCACGGAGAAGAGCAAGAGAGAGATTAGAAATAGAAGTGACGTATAACACAGGGTCCACAGAAGTGGAAACGGCAGAAAACCTTCCTGTGTTAAAAATACAGCAGCATCTTTTTGTTTAACAATCGAAGCAGTTTTTTACTCCTGCTGTGAATTTTGGTGCTAGTTCATTTTATCCACTCAACAACTCCAGACAGCACCGTGATTACCTCCTTGTCAATGTCCATAATTCCATCAACACCATGACCTCACAATTCCTTGGCCTCCTCCACCCAGTGACATTTGCTTCCAGCTTAATTCAGCTTCACCTTTCTTTAGGCTCACCCTTGACATTGGTGTCACCACAACTATTTCATCACTAAAGTAAAAAAAAAAAATACTGTTTTTGTTCATACTTCACGATCTATCACAACAAGCAAGACTTTTCGGCTGAAAGGAACTTCTAAAATCGTTGTGAAAAATAAAATTACATATTTACTTTTCCAGATAAAATGACTGATATAAAACAGGCTATCAATGTTAATTTGTTTCTTTGCCTAAAATAAATCCAACATTTAATTGCTTTTTTCCCCCACAATCCAATTTGCACTCAGTCTGGGGTGCACCTTGCTTGATGGTGAGGTTGAAAAGAGAGCACTGTGACAGTAGAGATAGGAGCTGAAGATCTCTTAAAGGCTCAGCTCTGGCCTCAGTCACATTGTATTAGTGAAAATAAGGCCAGGCTCTACTTATCTTCAAGGACAGTGGAATGAGACTTTACCTAACAATATGAAGAGTGGCAAAAAAATTCCTGTCACCTTTATTTCATCACAAGGAACATGCAATTGGGCTGGACTTAGTATGTATTAAATATATCTGGAATATATATATGAATAAAAGAATAAATACTCTTAGAATAGATTCATTTTTACCTTCACTCTGTCAATGTAAAAAGTATTCATTTTTCAAGGTCTAGTTTACTGCTGCATTCTCTGGGAAGGTTTTTTTTTTTTTCCTCTACTAGAAATGATAACTTTCACTTAATTTTAATTGCATTATAACACTTTTCATAGCCAACATCATAGGTAAGAATTATATTCAATTCCTTTTTTCATGGAATAGCAAGTTGAAAATGGAACATTTTATTAATAATTGTCTACAAGTGGCATTCACTGTATCTAACATACAAGCTCTTAATAAATAATTGTTGAATAGTTGATGTTAAATTACAACATGAATTAAATATGAGACTAAATATTTAACAAATGCTTTGTTGATAGGTAGAATTAAGTTTAATATGTATTTTAACAATATATGTCTTTGTATTTATCTTTTTTGTGCTGTTTTTTTAAAAAAAAAATCAGGTTCGAGGATACAAATGCAGGTTTGTTACCTAAGTGAATTCATGTCATGGGGGTTTGTTGTACAGATTATTTCATTACTCAGGTATTAAGGCCAGTGCCAAATAATTGTCTTTTCTGCTCCTCTCCCTCCTCCCACTCTCCACCCTCAAGTACATCCCAGTGTGTGTTGTTTCCTTCTTTGTCTTCATACGTTTTCATGATTTAGCTCCCACTTACAAGTGAGAACGTGGTATTTCCTGTTCCAGCATTAATGTGCTAAGGATAATGGCCTCCAGCTCCATCTATGTTCCTGCAAAAGACATGATCTTGTTCTTTTTTATGGCTACATAGTACTCCATGATGTATATGTACCACATTTTCTTTATCCAATCTGTCATTAATGGGCATTTAGGTTGAGTCCATGTCTTGCTATTGTGAATAGTGCTGCAATAAACATACACGTGCATGTGTCTTTATAGTAGAATGATTTATATTCCTCTGGGCATACACCCAGCAGTGACACAGCTGGGTCGAATGGTAGTTCTGCTTTTAGCTCTTTGAGAAATCACTGTACTGCTTTCCACAATGGTTGAACTAAATTACACTCTCACCAACAGTGTGGAAGTTTTCCATTTTCTCTGCATCCTGGTCAGCATCTGTTATTTTTCAACTTTTTAGATGTATAATTGGCAAAATTTTTCTCCCATTCTGTAGGTTGTCTGTTTACTCTGTTGATAGTTTCTTTTGCTTTGCAGAAGCACTTAAGTTTAATCAGATCTCACTGTTGATGTTTGCTCTTGTTATTATTGCTTTTGGTGTCTTTGTCATGAAATCTTTGCCCATTCCTATGTCCAAGATGGTATTGCCTGGGTTGTCTTTTAGGATTTGTACAGTTTTGGGTTTTACATTAAAGACTTTAATCCATCTTGAGTTGATTTTTGTATATGGTGTAAGGAAGGGGTTCTTATTTTACTCAAAGTAGAAAATTTGGAAAACAAAAAGAAGAAAAAGATTTGTAATTGTATATCATTCAGATAATCACAGAGAAATATTGATGGATATACTGGCACTCTTTATGAACACTCCTGTTGTTTTAAGAACACACAACATCTCTTCACTGAAAATTTAGTATCCATTTCCCACATTTCAAAGTAAAAAAATAACTCTAGTACGTTTTATCAGTAACAACTAAGAAAACAAAATCTACTATAAGGAATATTTTGTGGCCAGAGCATTTAATCTGAAGGACTCATTCTGTTATTAGAAAATAATTACATTTTGATGTGTCCAGCTGTTTTTCCCATGTTCTGTTGGAAAATATTTTATTTATAAAATTGTATCTCAAAATATACCTCAAATTAGTAGCATGAAATTTTCTCAAATTATAAAATTAACTGAATGTGTTTTTACAACATAATTTTCTTCTTAAATATCTGCTATGTTGCTTTTAATATTTTAGTATTTTATGTAATGTTGAATATTGTTTAGTTAAAATTGCCTGCTTACTGAAGGTTATTACTATTATTATTATTGAATGGATTATGTGAAATGGGATGGCTGAGAAAAACACAAAGCCTATATTGATAATACGTGAATTTTAAAAAGAAATGCTTATTTGTATTTACAAATAGATATTTCTCTGTGACATCATTACAGTAGTAAATTTTTAATAATGTATCTTCTAATGTTTTGCTTTGTGGTATATTTACATCAGTGTCCATATGTCACTTTTCATAAATGCTTACGATTTGCATTAAAATTAACAAGATTTATCTAGCTTTTTGACTTCAATGTGATGAGCCATAGCTTAGAAGTCAGCAGCCAGTAAAACTATAAAATATAAGAAATGCTCAATGATTTTAAATTAATAACTTGAGTCACATTATGAGCAAAAATTTTGATGATCCTGTAGTATCTTAGGTGAAGTAACATAGTTGATTTTGACCATGATATCAGAATAAGGAAAAAGAACAATTTTAAACTACTTTACCTATTCGAAAATAATCGATTGATCACAATGTAAACAATATAACCTTCAGTGTAATATTGTTCACTATATGTTATTCAAAATTATGTTTGTGAAATTCATCCATATTTTGCCTTTGTAATTTATTCATTCTCTTTGCCATGTACCATGGTGGTTTGCTGCACCTATCAACCCATCATCTAGGTATTAAGTCTCACATGCATTAGGTATTTGTCCTAATGATCTCCCTCCCCTCGCCCCCCACCCTCCCATAGGCCCCGGTGTGTGTTGCTCCCCTCGCTGTGTCCATGTGCTCTCATTGTACATGGATGCAGTTTTCTAGGTACTTAGCAAAGAATGAAATCTTTATATTAAAGGATATGTTCATTTTTAGGAGATAATAAAAAATAGTTTTATACAGTTCCTGTACAATCTACATTCCAACCAGCAATCTATAGGCATCCCATTTGTTTCACATTGTCATAAACTGTTGGTGTCATTGGTCTTTATAATGCTAGCCATTTTGCATACATTGTATTGAGGATTTAATTCACAATTTTCTGACAAAAATAATGACTTTTGTAATTTTTTTCTATTAATATTTATTTTTTTACAAAATTTTGTATTATATTATTATCCTTTGTATTTTTTGTACTTTTGTATTATTGTACATACCATTTGTATTTATGATAACTTCATAAGGTCTGAGGCTAACATCAATAATGTTTTGAGCTTTCTTTTTGCATCTGTGTTAATTTCTTCACTATTAGTTTTTTTTTATTATTATACTTTAAGTTTTAGGGTACATGTGCACAACGTGCAGGTTTGTTACATATGTATACATGTGCCATGTTGGTGTGCTGCACCCATTAACTCGTCATTTACATTAGGTATATCTCCTAATGCTATCCCTCCCCCCTCCCCCCACCCCACAACAGGCCTCGATGTGTGATGTCCCCCTTCCTGTGTCCATGTGTTCTCATTGTTCAATTCCCACCTATGAGTGAGAACATGCGGTGTTCGGTTTTTTGTCCTTGCGATAGTTTGCTGAGAATGATGGTTTCCACTTTCATCCATGTCCCTACAAACGACATGAACTCATCATTTTTATGGCTGCATAGTATTCCATGGTGTATATGTGACACATTTTCTTAATCCAGTCTATTGTTGTTGGACATTTGGCTTGGTTCCAAGTCTTTGCTATTGTGAATAGTGCCACAATGAACATACGTGTGCATGTGTCTTTATAGCAGCATGATTTATAATCCTTTGGGGATATACCCAGTAATGGGATTGCTGGGTCAAATGGTATTTCTAGTTCTAGATCCCTGGGGAATCGCCACACTGACTTCCACAATGGTTGAACTAGTTTACATTCCCACCAACAGTGTAAAAGTGTTCCTATTTCTCCACATCCTCTTCAGCGCCTGTTGTTTCCTGACTTTTTAATGATTGCCATTCTAACTGGTGTGAGATGGTATCTCATTGTGGTTTTGATTTGCATTTTTCTGATGGCCAGTGATGATGAGCATTTTTTCATGTGTCTTTTGGCTGCATAAATGTCTTCTTTTGAGAAGTGTCTGTTCATATCCTTCACCCCCTTTTTGATGGGGTTGTTTGTTTTTTTCTTGTAAATTTGTTTGAGTTCATTGTAGATTCTGGATATTAGCCCTTTGTCAGATGAGTAGATTGCAAAAATTTTCTCCCATTCTGTAGGTTGCCTGTTCACTCTGATGGTAGTTTCTTTTGCTGTACAGAAGCTCTTGAGTTTAATTAGATCCCATTTGTCAATTTTGATTTTTGTTGCCATTGCTTTTAGTGTTTTAGACATGAAGTCCTTGCCTATGCCTATGTCCTGGATGGTATTGCCCAGGTTTTCTTCTATGGTTTTTGTGATTTTAGGTCTAACATTTAAGTCTTTAATCCATCTTGAGTTAATTTTTGTATAAGATGTAAGGAAGGGATCCAGTTTCAGCTTTCTACATATGGCTAGCCAGTTTTCCCAGCACCATTTATTAAATAGGGAATCCTTTCCCCATTGCTTGTTTTTCTCAGGTTTGTCAAAGATCGGATAGTTGTACATATGTGGCATTATTTCTGAGGGCTCTATTCTGTTCCATTTGTCTATATCTCTGTTTTGGTACCAGTACCATGCTGTCTGGGTTACTGTAGCCTTGTAGTATAGTTTAAAGTCAGGTAGCATGATGCCTCCAGCTTTGTTCTTTTGGCTTAGGATTGACTTGGCAATGCAGGCTCTTTTTTGGTTGCATATGAACTTTAAAGTAGTTTTTTCCAATTCTGTGAAGAAAGTCATTGGTAGCTTGATGGGGATGGCATTGAATCTATAAATTACCTTGGGCAGTATGGCCATTTTCACGATATTGATTCTTCCTACCCATGAGCATGGAATGTTCTTCCATTTGTTTGTGTCCTCTTTTATTTCATTGAGCAGTGGTTTGTAGTTCTCCTTGAAGAGGTCCTTCACATCCCTTGTAAGTTGGATTCCTAGGTATTTTATTCTCTTTGAAGCAATTGTGAATGGGAGTTCACTCATGATTTGGCTCTCTGCCTGTCTGTTATTGATGTATGAGAATGCTTGTGATTTTTGTACATTGATTTTGTATCCTGAGACTTTGCTGAAGTTGTCTATCAGCTTAAGGAGATTTTGGGCTGAGACAATGGGGTTTTCTAGATATACAATCATGTCATCTGCAAACAGGGACAATTTGACTTCCTCTTTTCCTAATTGAATACCCTTTATTTCCATCTCCTGCCTAATTGCCCTGGCCAGAACTTCCAACACTATGTTGAATAGGAGTGGTGAGAGAGGGCATCCCTGTCTTGTGCCAGTTTTCAAAGGGAATGCTTCCAGTTTTTGCCCATTCAGTATGATATTGGCTGTGGGTTTGTCATAGATAGCTCTTATTATCTTGAGATACATCCCATCGATACCTAATTTATTGAGAGTTTTTAGCATGAAGTGTTGTTGAATTTTGTCAAAGGCCTTTTCTGCATCTATTGAGATAATCATGTGGTTTCTGTCGTTGGTTCTGTTTATATGCTAGATAACGTTTATTGATTTGTGTATGTTGAACCAGCCTTGCATCCCAGAGATGAAGCCCACTTGATCATGGTGGATAAGCTGTTTGATGTGCTGCTGGATTTGGTTTGCCAGTATTTTATTGAGGATTTTTGCATCAATGTTCATCAAGGATATTGGTTTAAAATTCTCTTTTTTGGTTGTGTCTGTGCCAGGCTTTGGTATCAGGATGATGCTGGCCTCATAAAATGAGTTAGGGAGGATTCCCTCTTTTTCTATTGATTGGAATAGTTTCAGAAGGAATGGTACCAGCTCTTCTTTGTACCTCTGGTAGAATTCGGCTGTGAATTCGTGTGGTCCTGGACTTTTTTTGGCTTGGTAAGCTATTATTTATTGCCTCAATTTCAGAGCCTGTTATTGGTGTACTCAGAGATTCAACTTCTTTCTGGTTTTGTCTTGGGAAGGTGTATGTGTCGCGGAATTTATCCATTTCTTCTAGATTTTCTAGTTTATTTGCGTAGAGGTGTTTCTAGTATTCTCTGATGGTAGTTTGTATTTCTGTGGTATTGGTGGTGATATCCCCTTTATCATTTTTTATTGCGTCTATTTGATTCTTCTGTCTCTCTTTTTTTTTTTTTTGAGAGAGAGAGTCTTTCTCCATCGCCCAGGCTGGAAAGCAGTGGCGGAATTTCGGCTCACTGCAAGCTCGCCTCCTGGCCTCAAGCAATTTGCCAGGCTCAAATGATTTGCCATGCTCAAGCGATTTGCCGGCCTCAGCCTCCCATGTAGCTGGGACTACAAGTGCGTGTCACTGCACTAGCTAATTTTTGTAATATTTGTAGAGATGGAGTTTCATCATGTTGGCCCAGTCTCATCTTGAACTCCTGAACTCAAGCGATCTGCCCACCTCAACCTCCCAAAGTGTTGGGATTTTAGGCATGAGCCATCATGCCCGGTCAACTTTTATAATTTTTATAAAGTGACTATGCAAGTAGTTGGCCCATAATTTGGGGCATTCCCTGCTTTTCCTCTCATTGATTTGTTGTTTGTGACATATTCTGAATATATGGTGGGCATATGATTTCTTTGTTAGATATATGCACACAAAATCACTTACCCCATTCATCTTAATTTTAAATTTTTCAATGGTGAATTCTTACGATGAGAAGATCTTGTCGGAATGTGATCCACTTTGCAGTCTAGTCTTTTTAAAAGTACATTTAGGTCTTTTTGTAACCTTTGAAGAAATATTTTTCCACTCGAAGGTCAGTAAGATCAACTGCGTTGTCTCCTCAAGGCTTTATTTTGCTTTTCATATTTACATATATAATCAGCCGTGTATACATTTTTGGGTACAAGGTAAGGTAGATGCAGGGTTACTCATTTTCCTATGAATATTCAAAAGGGAATATATCTTTCCCACTGTTCTGAGTGCAGATTTGTGAAAGTGAATCACAGTACATGCCCAGCACCCAAAAGAGCGTGTATGCTTTGAATTTTCACAGTGCTTCTGATGTGGGGTGAAAATTATAAACGCTTCTTGTTAAGTCACTGCATCTGAAGTCACTGTTGTCAAAACTGTCTCTTCCCAACATTTTGGGTTTGTTTACAGATTCTTTACGATGTTTGGTTGGTCTGATTGTCTATTTTGGTGCTTGTCTTCAGTGTCAGTTACTATAGCTTTATAATGAGGGTTGGTGTTTAATAATGTTGTCTTTCTACTTCATTCTGCTTCATGATTGTCTTCCCTTGGTACAGTTGGATGTTTTTCCCTTCTGCATCTCCTGTTGAAATGTGAACCCCATGTTGGACATGGTGCCTAGTGGGAGGTATTTGGGTCATGGGGGTGAATCCTTCTTGAATAGCTTGGTGCCCTCCCCACGATAATGAGCGAGTTCTCTGTTAGTTAGAGCTAGAGCTCATTGTTTAAAAGAGCCTGGTACCTCCTCCCCTCTCTTTCTTGCTCTCCCTCTTTCCAAGTGATACACTGATTCCACCTTTGCCATCTGCTATGGTTGTGAGCTTTCTGAGGCCCTTTCCAGAAGCAGATGCCAGCACTGTGCTTCTTGTACAGCCCGCAGAATCATAAGCCAAAATAAATATATTTTCTTTATAAATTATCCAACCTCAAGTCTAGCTTTATGGCAATGAAAAAAAAAACTAATGCATCACTATTCTTGAGTCTTTGCCTTTCCATATAACTTTTAGAAATAACTTGTGAATTTTTTACAGAAGAATCTGTTAAGTATTTTGATGGCGATTACATTGAATCTTTAATCGATAAGGGGATAATTGACATATTTAAAATATGGATGTTGGCCAGGCGTGGTGGCTCACTCGTGTAATCCCAGCATTTCGGGAGGCCGAAGCAGGTGGATTGCTTGAGGTCAGAAGTTCAAGACCAGCCTGAACAACATGGTGAAACCCCATCTCTACTAAAAATACAAAAATTAGCCAAGCGTGGTGGTGTGTGGCTGTAGTCTCAGCTACTCGAGAGGCTGAGGCAGGAGAATCACTTGAATCCAGGAGGCGGAGGTTGCAGTAACCCGAGATCGAACCATTGCACTCCAGCCTGGGCAACAAGAGTGAAATTCTCTCTCAAATAAATAAATAAATAAAATTTGGATATTTACAATTATAAACATGTTACGTCTTTCTATTTCTTTAGAAATTAAAAAACTCTCTTACTACTATTTTATTGTTTTCTCTACAAGGTCTCACATAATTTTGCAGATTATTGTCATATATATAATATTCTATTTGCTATCCTATTCCAGAAGTGATTTATTTTTGCTAATCGTGAGCAGGCAGTCCATGGGTGAATCCCCTTAATCCATGTTCTCTGTAAGTTGCCAATTTGGGTTTCAGATGTACTCATGTTGCTCTTTGAGTTCCCAGCTGAATTCCTGGACCCTCTTATCTTTGGCAGGTCATACACCCTACCCCCATAAGCCTGCCGAAAGTTCTGTTCGCCTTATCATCTCAAATGCAAATCAGCCATCATCTAGAAAGGAAAACAGCCAAGTATCAGACTCCCCCTTCACTACTTCCTCCATATGACAAGAAGATTGGTCCACAACTTCTCACTGCCCAATCTCTGGCCAAAGTTATTATGCAGCTATATTTATACTTTGTCCTGCTTTTTACCAAAGACTTGAAAAAAATTGTAAGTATGTTCAGAGAACCAACATTATACTTTGATAATTAAATCATTATGTTTATTTTTTAATTATATTAATTTGTTTTTATCGTCATTATTTCCACCCTTCCACCACCTTCTCTCTGGTCATATATTTTAAGGAGCTTCTTTATTTTCATCACAGAAATTATAATCATCTTCTGTTATAATCTTCAGTGTTGAATGTGTAGGCTATCTTGACTGGTATTGTTGGTACTTAACAATACACCTGACACAAAACGTGGAATTTTTCACCCACACCAGCCAATCCTTCCCCTTTCCAAATACCAAATGGGCATCTCAAAATTCAATTCAATTCAATTCTGACACTAACTACCAAATTAGCATAGACATCACAGGTTAAAGGCTCAGTCCCATAAAACTGCCCTCACTTCAGATGCCAGGTTCAAGTACAGAGTGCCAAGGGTGCCTACACTTCTGCCTGATTTGGGTACAAAGTTGAGGATCTTCACAACTTTCTCCTCAGGTTCCATAATTTGCGAGAAGAGTTCACAGAGCTCAGGGCAACACTTTACTTACTATTGCTGGTTTACTCTGAAGGATATCATAAAGGATACAGATGAGCATGGAGATGAAGAGGTACACAGGATGTGGTCCGGAAGAGCTCTGAGCACAGGAGTTTCTGATCCCATGGAGTGTATGCATTCGCCAACCTGAAAGCTCACCAAATCCTATAATTTAGAGAATTTTATGGAGGTAAATATGATTTATTATCATTGGCCATTGGTGACTGACTCAATTTTTAGCCTCCTCCTCTCCCTAAAGATCTAGTGGGGAGGCTAAGACTTCCTACATTCTAGTCATGCCTTGGTCTGTCTGGAGACCTGCCTCTGTCCTGATGCTCTCCAGGGGCTCCAGCTGTTAGTCATCCTATTGGCATACAAAAGACAGTCCTGTCACTTCAGAGAGTCCAAGGTCTTAGCAACTATTGTGTTAGTAACTGGGAAGTAAGCCCAAAAATTATAACAAAAGAGGTTCCCATCATCCCCTATCACACAGGAAATTACAAGGGTTTTATTTAGAAGCTTGTGCCAGGAAACAGGAAGGAAGATCAAATATATATTTATCATTATATAAAAATTACATCATGTCAGAGAGAAAGTCTTATAATTGTTATTGAATGTTGAGCATAAGAATGATATCAACAACCAGATAAATCTTACGTTTATTATAGAAATGATCCTACTTAACATTTCTTTGAATTTATTTAGTGGGTCTAGATTTTTATGGAAGAGGCTAATTACTAAAGTTTCAAAATGAGGATGTGATATAGGTATGGGTGTCAATCTATTAATATGTCATATCTGACAACTTTATCTTCTAACATAACTAAGAAAACATACTTTAGCAAACTTTATCATTTGTACAAAAGCATTTGGAAGAGCTAACTACAAGTACTTATACTCATGCCTCCAGTGGTTCAGATTTAGTAATGTAGTTGGACTCATGTATTCCTCATATGCAGGTATTGCATACTCGCTGTAATTGGGTTCATATGTGCATTTTTGCCAGTAAAATCGGTAATTCTGATATTTGCTCTGAGGATCATAATTTAATAAATACTGCTTTAAAGTGAAAATGAGTCAAAATACTGTTAAAAGAGAACGTGTATTTTGCATTTTCAGAGGTGATATAAATGTGGTCTTACAAACAATTCTAACTTTTTCCTTTGCTCAACAGAACTCATCACTCTTGTCAAATTCTTTCCATCTATTGTGTGTTTAAATAATGATAATGGAGATATCAAATATGCCATCTCCATAGTGAACAACTAATACATCTGTCTTGGCTTGAACATTCCTTTCAAACCATAAGAAAAAGTAGTAGCATTCACCTTTATTAATAATTCGTAACATTGATACTGGGAATATATGGAATATTTAAAAAACAAAATATGTAACAATCAACCTGGATTCTTCAATACATTTGATTGTTGTACATTTAAAATAGCTATTTATCTACTTACATTTTTAATAAGATTTTGCCCACCCACAATATTTTATTGAACCCTTTATTTTTGCAGTTTCATCCATCAATCATTTTAAGACAGGGAAGGTAAAAAATTTCGGAGTTTTTCTTTTTTTCTCATTATGATCTCACTTTCTCTTGACTAAATAAATCCATATAATATTGTGTATTGTCATTGCTCAGGTCATCTATGAATTAATTAAACTAAAATAACATGGGATTATTAATGTTTACCTATCCTATAGCTCTTACGATAATTTTGTGATATTAATTTTAAATTATTTTTTATTTCTTGAACTCTCATGTTTGCTGCTGCCTTCCAAATTATCAACATGCATTTATTTTTGTTTGAAGTCAAAAAGTTACAGTGAATCTTTTCTATTAATTTAGAAGCAAATTATAAGCAATTATGAGTACACTGTAATGATGAAACTAAGATACTGAGTATTTGTCAAAAACCCATAGAAGCTTACAGTACAAAGATTAACCTTAATGTACACAAATTTTTTAAAAGTCAGTTTGGAAGCTGGGGATCCCAGGATTGAATGCAGAATGTCCCCAAATCACTTAAACATATTATAAATGTGTGAAACAACCTCACTGAAGCAGGCAAAGGGAGATGCTGAGCTAAGTATCTTTGGAAATTAAAGGAGTCTGTAAGACTAAAGGCAAAGGAAATTGTACATAGCACTCTACTGTAGTTGAGAAAATTGTTTCACACAGGGAACAGGTTGACAATTCCGAAACCACTAGAAATGTACACAACTAAGTAAATGGGTGGCAGATGGTGGGAGCCAGGTTTATATAGTTGGAGTAACAGGTTATAGGTAAGCAAGGAGAGGACACTAGAATGATCTGTGTGGCAATAGACTGGAGTTGAAGACATTTCTATGAACTTATATTTAGCTTAATATAGATACAGATGGTTCAATATAGAACATTTTATAGATATGTGTATATCTATGTAGATTAGTATACATACATTTTGCTCTGTCTGCTGAGAGGTCCTAGAAGCAAGGAACCCCAGTAGCAACATCCAGCCTGCAGATTTGGTTTCTATACCATTCTTCAATAAAAGGAAGCAGGAGAAATGGCTGTTGCTAGGATTGGGGCAGAAAATATACAAGATGAGCCTGCAACATCTTGTTAGGCCAGAAAATAAGAAGTGATACAAAAAATTACAATGATGAAGATATATATCGAAGGGAGTAAGAAGCGAATTTCAGTGGGGCATGATACACTCTTGGGCAGAAAAATTGAAAATGCTTTATGTAGACGCACTACCTCAAGCAGGTAGAGCAAAACTTCACTTGCTAAATGTGCTGCAGGTAGGGTCTTCTTCCCACAAAGTACAGAGTATTTACATTTAGCTTGTAATCCTCCAAGGAGGGAGGGAAAATATTTTAGCAGAGAAACCTGAAAAACACTGCCTCAGCCAGGTGACCTAAATGAATATCAACAATGATAAGTCATATCATCAGTATGTATCCTTGATACAATGCAATGGAAATGTTACTTCTCTGTGATCTTCATGCATACACTCCATGGGATCACAGCCCAATTATGAGACAAATATCAGATAAATCCAAATAGAGGGGAATTCTACAAAACAGCTGCCAGAAATCCTCAACATTATGAAGGTCATCAAAAATGAGAGGGTCTGAGAAACTCATAACCAAGGGAAGCCCAAAAGCCATGTCTGCTGAATCGAATGTGCTACAGTGGATGGGATGCTGGAACAGAAATGGGATATTAGAGAACAACTAGGGTGAGCTGAATACAGTGTGGGCTTTATTTAATGGTGCATCAATATTGGTTCTTAATTATAACAAATGTACCCTAATAATGTATAATTTTGCTACCAGGGGAAACACATGTTGGTTATATTGGAATTCTCTGTACCAACTTCAAAATATTTTTGTTAATCTATTTTTTTTTCTTTTGAGATGAAGTCTTGCTCTGTCGCCCAGGCTGGAGTGCAATGGCATGATTTCGGCTCACTGCAACCTCCCCCTCCCAGGATCAGCTTCAAGTGATTCTCCTACCTCAGCCTCCCGAGTATCTGGGATTACAGGCATGCACTATCATACCTAGCTGATTTTTGTATTTTTAGTAGAGATGGAGTTTCACCATGTTGGCCAGGCTGGTCTTGAACTCCTGACCTCAGGTGATCCATCCACCTTGGCCTCCCGAAGTACTGGGATTACAGCCGTGAGCCATAGCACCCGGCCTAATCTAAAATTTTTAAATCAAATTTTTATTTCAAAAAACACGTATTCCCATCAACAAAGTTGCTTTCAAAAAAACTTTTAAGCCTATATTTAAGTCATAGTTAAATGTGAATAATTTAAAATATCAACTATTGAGCAATTATTTATTAAGGAGTAATAAAAAAAAGACTGGAAAAGGCACCTGGTGAAAATATGTGAACAACATACAGTCCTTTTATCAACTTGCCTGCATTCCAGTGAAGATAAAGAATGAATATATTATTCAAATACAATGCTGAGCCTGAAGAGCATTATAATTTAATTAAAATGAAAAGAAAGCCATTATCTGATAGATGAATTAAAAAGCCTTCTCAGAGAATGGATAATTAAAATACATCTTGAAATATTAGTGCTCTTTCAAGTGACAAAGTGTGAAAGAAATGTGTTCTTGGCTGGGATGAGAGCACACACTCTTTCATTCAGTCACTGTTTCAAAAATTATTTATTTACTACACATGTAAGTCAAGACACAGCGAAGTAGACTCTGGTGGATGCGTTTTACCACCACTCCAACCCAGAAGTAGAGACCACTTTCACTCTGCTGGAATCTAGGTTGGCTCCGGGACTTGCTTTGACTGGAAAAACGCAGTGAGGGTGGTGCAAAGTAATTCCTAAGGCAGAGCCTTTCAGAAATCAGCAAGTTGCATTCTCATTTCTCAAAATGCTCCCTTTTAGAACCCAGTCACGAAATATCAAGCTTAAGCCACATGGCTTGTTCAAGTGGAGGAAAATCACAGTGCCCTGGGCAGCAGCCTCAGCTGGGCTCTCCCAGGGCAGAGCCTGCACCTCCTGCTGCACCTTCCCGGGTGCTGTGGCCCAGCGGCCACCTGCAGCCCGCACCTACTGCTCCCGCGGAAAGAGAACCCGGGAATGTTGGGAATGGCTGTGTGCATTTTTACATGGAAAGAATGTAAATAACCTATTGTCAGTCAGCCCACATAATTGTGAGATCTTAAATGTTTTAAGCAATTAAGTTCGGGGTCTTTGGTTGTTCAGCAACATATGATTGAAACAGAAACTGCCATTGTAAAGTTGGCTTTGGAGCGAGGCATCAGTCTCAGGCTATTTGTGAAGGCTAGAAAGACAGGGAGAAATTTGCCACAAAATTACTATTTAAGCCTATGAGAAGAAATTCCAATTTAGATACTGTATAACTGATAATTAAACATTATTTGTGGTAAGATGAAAGTGAGAAAATGTATGAAATGACCCTGTGGATCTGAGTAAGATTTCCAATTAGAGTGTTGAAAGGGTCAATGCGAGTACAAAAACTTAGCCAGGCGTGGTGGTGGGCACCCTGTAATCCCAGTTACTGGGGGCTGAGGCAGGAGAATCACTTGAACTGGGCAGGTGGAGGTTGCAGTAAGCCGAGATCGCGCCACTGCACTCAATAGCCTGGGTGACAGAGTGAGACTCCATCTCAAAAAAAAAAAAAAAAAAAAGAAAGTGCCGATGTGCTTACTTGAACTGAGTTTGGATAATTATAGGACCACTACCACAAAAATCCTTAAAAGCAACTGCCAGCATCTCTTTTTTTCAGTATGCACTTTTATTAATTTATTTTTTAATTTATAGGTAATAATTGCATGCATTTATGAGGTACAATGTGATGTTTTGATACATGTATACATCATGTAATAATCAAGTCAGGGTAATGAACAAATCTATCACCTCATGCAATTATTATTTCTTTGTGATGAGAACATTCAAAATCTTGTCTTCTAGTTATTTTGAAATATACAGCAAATAATTGTTAACCACAGTCACTCTACTGTGCAATAACGTACCATAACTTATTCCTCCCTCCTCCTACCTGACTGCAACTTTGCACCTGTTGACCATCCTCTCCTTAACTCACAGGTGTGGAGGCTGGAAGTCCAAGGTCAAGGTGCTGGCAGCTTTGGTTTCTTCTGAGGCCTCTCTTCCTGGTTTGCAGACGGTGCCTCCTGGCTATGTCCTCATGTGGCCGTTCTGCATGTACAGCCCTAGTGTGTTTTTCTTTTTTCTTATAAAGACATACTGGGCCAGGCGTGGTGGCTCACACCTGTAATCCCAACATTTTGGGAGGCTGAGGTGGGTGGATCACCTGAGGTCAGGAGTTGAAGAACAGCCTGGCCAACATGGTGAAACCCCATCTCTACGAAAAATACAAAAATACAAAATTTAGCGGGGCGTGGTGTCAGGCGCCTATAGTCCCAGCTACTTGGGAGGCTGAGGCATGAGAATTGCTTGAACCCGGGAGGCAGAGGTTGCAGTCCAGGATGGGTGACAGAGCAAGACTCTGTCTCAAAAAAAAAAAAAAAAAAAAAAAAAGACATTGGACTAGGGACCCATACCAAGGGCTTCAGTTTAATATAATCACATCTTTGAAGGCCCTTTCTCCAAATGCAGTCACATTCTGATATACTGAGGTTGGGACCTCTATATATGAATCTGGGGGCAACACAATTCAGCCCATACCACCTCCTTTTTGAGCAGGGGTTTCTGTTGTGGTGATCTGGTTCTTGGAACCACATTTTATGTTGGGAAGAAAGGCTGTTTAGGCAGATAGATCTCTGTGTCCGCAAAAAAACACATATGCAAAGAACCTCATCTGCAATTGGACGTAATTTATAGGATAAAAGGAAAAAACTATTTCTCTTCTCCAACGCTTCTGACACCAAATGTGTGTGTGGAGGTGTTTTTGCTTTGTTTTGTTTCATTTCGTTTTTCCCAACAAACAACAAATTATCCAACTCTCTGTGGACACCAACTGGTTGTCCTACAATGACACTAACTACCAAGAGCTAACATAGACTCCATAGGCTAGGGGCCCAGTGCCACAAGGCTGCCCCTGTTTCAGACACCAATTTGCACATAGTGGGTCCCCAGGTTACCCACACTTCTGTCTTACTTGGCTACAAATCGGAGATTTTCACAACCCGTCCTCAGGTTCAGTAATTTGTTCAACGGCTTATAGAACTCAGGGAAACAGTTTATTTACTATTTCAGTTTAATATAGAGGAGATTATGGGGAACATAGATGAATAGTCAGAAGAAGGGGTACATGGGGGAGGTAGGGAAGGGTCCCAAGCAAAGGAGCCTCTGTCCCTGTGGAGTTTGGGTACACCACCTCCCAGCAGATGGATGCATTCATTAGCCCAGAAGCTCTCCAAATGCCATCATTTGGGGACTTCTAAGGAGGTTCCATTATGTAGAAGGATTTATTAAACCATCAGCTGTTAGTAATTAGTTCAATCTCAAGCCCCTCTCTGAAGGTCTCGGGGTACGACTGAAACTTCCAATTCTCTAATCATGCCTTGGTCTTTCTTGTGACCTCTTGAAGCTATCTTAGGGCCATAACTGCCCTAACATTAACATTTAAAAAGGCAATCTTAGTATTCTGGAGATTCCAAGGGTCTTAGCAGCTCTTATGTCAGGAACTGGGGGCCAAGATCAAATATTGTAACAAAAGATGCTCCTATCACTCCTATCAATCAGGCAGTTAGTGTTTTAGGAGCTCTGTGTCAGGAATCAGGGAGAGAGAAAACTATTCATATACATACATACACACACACGTGTGTATATATAAATGCATATATGCCTGTGTATATGCACTTATGTGTGTATTTCTTATTATGTCACAGATGATGAAATCTTGGACCTTAAACCTGAGCATGATACCACATAAGATGAGATTTCAGAGGGTTTAAAAGTGGTGAATGTATTTTGCATGTGGGAGGAATGTAAATAATTGTGATCAGTGACTGACTCTGGGGACTAAAGATACCTGCAACTCATTACCACTGCTCGTCTTGAAAGCGAAGCATACTTCCACTCCCCTTCCATCTTTCTGTGACCTTCCGTGACCCAGATAATGAGACATAAGTGGTCCCAAGTGTCTTCTGTGACATCTGCCTATGGTGCTAAGAAGGCTCCCATTAGGAACCAAGTGGCAACGGTGAGACAGGCCTAAGTCACACAGAGATGCCATGGGGTGGAGGACAGGTGCCTCAGATGATAAACCTGGCTGAGTCCTCGCTAGGGGCCAGAGCCAGCTGGATACCATATGACTGGCCATCTTGAATGTTTCCAGCCAAGTCAAGCCTTCAGGTGACTGCAGCTCCAGCCAATGCCAAAGGGAGCAGAAGAACCAGCTACCTGAGGCTGGCCAACCCACACAACTGGAGGAGATCATAAAAGCAGGTTTCAGCCTCCATGTCTTGAGATAGTTCATTACACAGCAGTAAATAATTGAAATTGTCCCCATATACAAGATCTTATATTGTGGAAATTTTAAAAATAAAATAATTATTTTAGAACTGCTTAAAGGCTATGAAATAATAAAGAGGTTTTTAGATACAGAAAAATATGTGTTTCAGGGAAACTATTTTATATAAAACCTATTGAATTTAAAGTGGAAATAAAGATTCCAGTTTCAGACATGTTAAATTTGGCATAATTATTACATATCCAAGTGGGATTGAATTAATTTAATTTTATTTTTAATTTTGTATTTGTAAGTCTGGAATTCAGTAGAGGAGTTCCAACTGAAGATAAAAATTTTGGAAACATTTGTCTATAGAAGGTATTTAAAGTCACATGATAAATATCTATCAGATTGAGTGAGAATTCTGAGAAGAACAGAGCAGACAGAAGCCTGGGGGATAAGAAAGGAATTTAGAAGCAGGAACGTGGAGGTGCCCTGGGGAATCAGGAACCATGAATACATAGTGTAAGTAGCACAGTGCTGTGTGTCCCACACAGTACAGGTGAGATACAACGTATATGCATTTACCTCAAACTACTATGTCTAGCAGATTCAACAAGTCCTACAAAATAAGAAACGTGTTACTCCAAGGGAACAAGTAATAAAGGAGAAGAACGGCAGGAGAGAAAATGTTATCCTGTGGCAAAGGGAGATCAATACAGACAGGAAGTGGTACTGAGGAAAGGCGAGAAGAATCTCTATGGGTTGATAAGTGTTAGGTACCAATAATTGACTGTGATGGTGCACCTTCACGCTTTGCACAACTTTCCTATCTCAATGTCTTTCCACGAAAGAGATGAAATTTTGTGTTTGTGCATGATGATATGATATATGACATGGTATAATGTGCTGTGATATGGTAAAAGTCAGATTTTGAAACTAAACACCACAAAATTAGGTCTACTCTCTTTAATTTCTAATGAGAAATGGAAACTTTATATGAAAGTAAGGGTATTGTATTATACTTTATGGTATCAGCACACAAAAACATGTAACATTTTATCTCTTTCTTGGAAAGATATTGCAATATAGAAGTTGTGTAAACTATGAATGGGACACATCATAGTTGGTTAGACTCACCTGACGATTATTGACAACAGAGATTCTAGTTCACTTACATGAGGTCTCTATAACAGTCAAACTCATGGAAGCAGTGAATGTAAACCCTGGCTGTGGTTGCCAGGGCCTGGGGCCTGGGGGAACCGGGTAGCTGCTCAGTGAGTCTCAAGGTTCAGCTATGCTAGGTGAATAAATTCTAGAGACTTGCTGGGCAGCATAGTGCCTATAGTTAACAACGTGATATTGTACACTTCAAAAATGATGCAAGGCAACTTTGGAGGCATGGGGGACTTGCATGTGTCTCCCTTCTTGATCATGAAAATTGTATCATGAATGTCTGCATATGTACAAATTCATCAAATTGTGCACATTCAATATGTGAAGTTCTTTGTATATCAATTATACTTCAATAAACTGTTAAAATAAAGCTCACAGTATTTTCAAAAAATTCCAATTATTTCTTACTAAGAGAAAAATGAAAAGTTATGTCAACTATCAAGAATTCAAGCTCACTTTCACAATTCTAGGATCTTTGCCACCATCCCTCATCTTTTCAACCTCACCCTCACATACATCACTTTTATGCAGACTAAAGCAAACTCCCTGCTCTCTCCTTTACATTATCCACTCCAGGCTTTTCATCTTTTCTCTAAGGCCCTCTCCTCCAGTTTACTTCTGTTAAAACCCTTAACATTCTTGAGGCCCATATCAAATTCCATTTTCTGCACAAACAGCCTCAAAATAACTGAATAAATTATCCTTTTTCTCTGCAACTAACTGTGTCCCTTAAATATATCACCTTATATATGTAAAAATAGAAATTCCAGTAGAGAAAAGAACTCCAATTATGATACAAAAAACAAAGAAAATACTGGGAACATACTTTAGACATGCAAAGTGATATTATGAAAATACTAAAATTTGACTGTGAGATGGCCTGGTTCCTTGAATGGATAAAATAGTCCAATGTGGCTGAGCACGAAGGAGAGTGTGAAATCATCAGACAAGCATAAACGGAGGAATGGGTCCACACATTCACATGACTGCATGCCACTCCAAAAAGCTGAGTCTTCATCTTAAGGTCAATTTCATTGAAATCATCGAAGAATTTTAAGAGTGTAAGTTGCATAATTAGATTTTCATCTATGAAAGAACATTACTTTGGAAGATAAGAAATTAGATTTCGTGGGAGCAAATATTAGATGTGAAGAGAGATTTTTTAGAAGGCTAATGAGAGACAATGGCAACATTTAACAACCCCTACAGCAATCAGTCAACTGTCAAGGCATTTTCTGAAACAGGATAGCCTCAACAAGGGCAGACTTGGTAGAAAAGATGATAAGACTTGATTTGTGAAATATGATGTGCTGAAATTCCTCATAGACATATGGCTCTGGACTCAGGAGTGCCAATGAGGCTGGCCCATAGCAGGTTCGCAACAAGCCTGTGTCGACTATGTAAATGAGTCATGGGCATATGATTGGGAACTGAGGTCACTGAATGAGATATACATGTTCGAAGAGCGTGTGTCATGTGAGATGAGAAGGCTATGACAGAGGCACGAGGAACTCCAAACTTTAAGATGGATGCCAAAAGAGAAATCCCAAAAGAGACTGAAAGAGACCAGCCTGTGCTGCAGGAGGCACTCCAGGAGGACTGGCCCCAGTGAAGTTAAGGGAGGACAATGCTTTAAAGTCTGAATGGTTCATGACGGCAAGTGCAGACAGAAGCTAAGTATGATAAGACTTTAAAATATTTAGTTAGAGACATCAAAGTAATTGATGCCTGTGGCAAAGCTTTTTCAGTGATGTGAGAGTCCAGTGATGAGTGTAAAAGTGATTGGGTAAATGATAACAAGGACAGGCAAGGGGCTGGCACTGATGCTATGATCCATGGCAACGACTGAGTCACATTTTAAGTTGGAGAGTCTTACGCAGGTTTAGAGGATGGTGGCAAGGACACAGAAGAAGATGAAACTAATGGAAGCCAAGAAATTAATCACTGAGAAGGCACAGGGTTTGCAGTCTGGACTGCCATTGGAGGCTTGGCCTTAAACTGGAAATTTAATCTGTAATTTCGTTGTCTTTATTTTTTACTTCCCATTCTGAGACTTTTCAAGTCATCTGCTGTGTAACTGATTTTATTTCTATTTATTCTTCATATTTTTGTCTGGATTTAATTGCAATTACATTCATCTCTACCTTTTAAAATGTAATTTTAAAAGTAGGCTGTTCTGCCCCAGCCACTTTTCCTCTTGCCCTCACATTGCAGATTATTTTCATAGACCAACACATACTAAAATGAGGTAATGTCATAAAGATACAATTAGAGGAATAAAGATACAATTAGAGGATAGATATTTATTACAGGATTATAGAATTTCCTATTATGTCTGTGGAAAAGATACTAGCATTACTCATTTTTTAAAAACTACCCTGCAATTTTATCAGCTAATTCACCAAGTGAAGAGAAATGATGCAAAGACAGATTGATTCCATATATTCTCTTCTTTTGAAATTCTGTGCACTGACAAATTAGTATCTAGAATGCATGTTCTGCAGGAAATGGAGGCCATTTTGCTGGAAGCCAGCATGATATTAAAAAGACAGGTTGTGAAATTTGGCACTTAATAGATCGTCCACTTATTTTAGTAGTTTATCCTTACTTGAGTTGTTAACTCAATTGTCAGCTTTCTCATCCAACAACAAGGAATATAAGGTCTAATTCACAAGTAGGGTGAAAGATTTAATGCAATAACCTGGCACTTTTAAGCTCTGAATAAGCATTGGAAATGGAACACTGCCATTATCAAATGGAATTTACATATAGACACAAAAGTTCGTCAGCTCCTTATCATATACACTTGAGTCATATGGTCAAAATATAAAAATTTGTAAGTATAGATGAGAAGAGAATTATAGACAAATATCAATCACTGGTTTAGGATGAATTGCTTAAGGTGAGGTATCAGGCGATGACCAAATCACTGGACACAAGGCCATATATCAGATGACATGCATGCAAACAAAATTTCTTAGAGAAATGGCATTTAGAAGTTAAAAAGTGCAACGAGTTCTCTATGAGTTGACATTTCATAAAAGTGTTGTTACTTCAAAAGCTTGTAGTATTGACATCTAGTTCTCTTGCTAGTACTTGGTCTCACAATTACTGCTGTATTTTCTGAGTAGCTCCTGTAGATCTGACAGCAGCTGTGTCTTCAGCTCAGCCTGTCTATTCACTGTAATAACTGTAGACAGTGTTATCATTATATAATGGACAGAGCTTTTCTCTTGGGGCTGACAGTTTCCTCCCTACTCAGTTATTGTATGTCAGAATTTATCTGCTCTCCCTTTAGTCGTTTATATGTAAGTTACTTAATAATAAAGTTTATTGAATTATTAGTAATGCCAATGGACGGTAGGCATGTTAGCCTTGATGCTGCTCTGTCATTTCTTGTTAACAACATCAGTGGAATTTGACAGTAGATTCAGTTCTGTGGAGTTTCTTTCACAAAGGCATGCCTTAAGATATAATTAGAAACTTGGCAATAGTACCATGATAAATGTTCAGTATTCCAAAATGATCTTTTTCCCCCACATCAATAAGCTTTATGCAGCATCTAAAGGCAGTCATTCAAAATTTCTTAATGGTGGTGATTGCAGCATTTTGCTGACTATTCTGCAGTCACTATAGCTGTAAGAGCTGACAATTAACTTCAAAGAAACTGAATTCATGTCACAGTCTACACTAAGCATAATCCACATGCTGTCCAAATTGCATATGGGCAATTCAAACCTGAAAGATTACTCTGAATTTTGCTGTGTTGGCAGCAGTTCTAATAAACAAGGAACTCAAATGCCAAATAAGAAAATCAGATTTGACAACATCTGGTGTAATGACATATTTATAGGAGAAGGTATAGAGGATCCAAAGAAAGGCAAAGAGAAAAAAATTCATGAAGAGCAACTTATGTAAGAGTTAATGACAGGCAAGAAGAACAAAAAAGTCCACAAACTCACAAGTCTTCCTTAATAGATCATATCATTCTACATCTGATCTTTTTCTTCTATTCTGGTAAAATACATTATGACAGGAATCATTAAATATATGATAAAAGGCTATTTCAGGGGACAATACTGAAACTACCTTCGATACCTGCCTGGTAACCCACAAGAAACTAAAATAGAATCATAGCATCTCACAGCTGGAATGCCATTAGGTATATAATTGATGTGAGAATCACTTCTATGCAGCCTTGATATATATTTGTTAATGAGAACTTGGATAGTCCCAGTTTTAGGGAACTCATTATACAGAAGGTAAAATGATATTATCAGAAGAGCAGAGTCTTTTTGGCTTGAGAGACATGAATTTGAATCTTTGATCTACTTTTCCACTAAATGATCTTGAGAGTGTTATATAAAATTTCTAATTTACTCATTCTGGAATAGGGAGGTAATCTCAAACAAAATACCATACACCTTATTTTTCAAAAATCATATGTTGTTTATTTATTTTCTTTTTCCAACTGTCCAAGGTCTTGGCTCTGAACCAATTTTAAATTTCATAGTTATTAGACTATCAATTGTTTGTGTGTCCTTCCTACATTTTAAACCACACCACCCTTGTAGATACAGAAATATCAGTAACTGAGTATTGGTTTCAGCTCATCTTTAATAATTATTACTGCCAGATAGACCTATAATCAACCAACCTCTAGGCTAGCTGTAGTACCTGGGAAACTAGTTTGACATGGTACTTTTAATCTGAAGTAACAGAAAACCAATTTGAAGCTAAAGGGATTAAGTTCTGACTCCTAGAATAATAAATTTTAGAGAAATATGGAATTTGACTCATCAGGTAGATGATATCACTGAAGACCTACTTCTGCCTCCTAAATTATCAGTTTCATTTTAAGATTAGTGCCCTCAAATGACCACAAGATGAATGCTAGGAGTTCCTAAGATTATACTATTCAACACCTACACCAAAGCCATTAGCTTCACTCCAGACTAACTTAAGGTGTACACCAACCCTGAAACGCTCAGTATGTGCAGACTGCATACTGATAATCTTAGATGTTCATGGGATGATCAGCCTAAACCAAGCCTTGTGAGTTGCAGATGTGGAAAGGAGGAAAGGGTTGATCTATTTAAATTATGCTGCTGCTACCCAATGGTACTGAATGGATGTCAGAAGGCAACTATACTGCCCATCACATCTGTGTTGCCACCAAGACTTTTGTGTTTTCCTAATGCCCTATGCTGTTTCTGGATAAAGAGTTTAATGTTGCACATTTGCAGGGGATTTATGTTAAAATTTCCTTTCATGTTTACTTTTCTGTTGCTGTTTTAGCAGAAGTTCTAATAAACAAGGAACTCAAATGCCAAATGAGAAAATCGGATCTGACAGCATTTGGTGTAATGACATACTTATAGGGGAAGGTATAGAGGTTCCATAAAAAGGGCAAAGATTTTAAAAATTATAAAGAGCAACTAATGTAAGAGTTGATGGCAGACAAGGAGAACAGCGGAGCACATAAATTCACCAATCTTCCTTAATAGACCATAGCATCCTACTTTTGTTCTTTTCCTTGTATTTACCAGAAATACAAGTATCCTATCTATTGATTATTTCAAAAACTCTTTATTGCTAAATTAAGATTGTGAGTGTTAGAGGCAGAATGATTGCAGGAAGACTACTCTATAAGGAAGATTTCTCTGTACTGATTTGTTGGTGTCTTGCAAATCCCACTCCCCCTAATCAAAAAATAATTAGGAGTAATGAAGATATTTCTTACTATCTCAAGTCAAGGAGAGAGGCTTCACTGAGCTCAATCTAAGGGATTACTGTGAAACTTTTCCTGTGCAGCTTGAGATAGGGGCAAAAGGCACACACAGTGGACTCCTGTGAGTCTCACAGGTTAAAAAACAAGAGGTGGACTGGCTAGCTCCTGATATCAGTAGTGAGGATGCCCATGCTGGACAGCTGTGTTCTAAGAGTTTATAGTAGCAAAATATAAGCTAGATTTTCACATGACTGAGACTTGGTTAATGTGAAAGAAGCAGTGAGTATAGGGATATATTCGGAGCTGAAGAGGTTTTCAATGTGAATCCTCATTTCTTCCTTGTGGCCTCAGCAAAAGACAGGCTTTTGCATATCTGCTTTGTCTATGTGTCCTTTAGCTCCCCCTCTTCTGCTCTTGGGAATCAAACTGAGTCCAAGGACACTTCTGCTGCCAGCTGTTGGACCCTAGTTTGTTATTGTAAATGATAATTTTGATGTTGCATCTCGGGTATACACCTGCCCTCCAAGAATCATCAGCCACAATGTCTTCTCCTGATTGCTTTTACAGAACTTCTTTTTCAATTTCCACTGGCTTTTGGCAGTTTTGTGCATTTAGAGTTTGGAATTTTAAATGTTTCCTAGTTTCAGCACTAATTAAATTTGTGTTTTTATTTTACATCATCTTCACTGCTTTTAAATGTTTTCTAGGAAAAAGGTGGAAAGTCAGAGTTTTATGACACTGTCACTATACCAGAATTCTCTCATTGTCTTTTAACAGAGGAATTTGGCACATATGTATCAATAAGCCCCTTCAATTACTATTTATATGATTTCCCCACACCATGCTTGATCTGTATTAAGTCTTCAGACATATAGCTGGTGTTATTTAGCTATTTTACTGATTTTTTTAATCAGTCATATATATTTTCCAGACTGATGGTTATTTCTTGTGTATAACAGCTTGTTCTTGTTTTTTAGATGTGATATTTCTTCTATTCACTCTCTCTCTCTCTAAATATTAATTCTACTGATTTTAATTTCCTTTTTTGTTACGTGTGTTTAATCTTTTTTGTTTACTATTCATGCTTTTTTTTTAGTAGTTGTAATTTTTGGACATCTGTTAACACTAACAAATGAAAGACTTGATTGGTAAGTATTAATATCTCTGATGTGTTTTCCTTTTACTTACACAGATTTCTCCTCGTTGCCAGTTATACTATTTAGGCCCACTATTTAACCCCTGTGTGAACTTCAGATGATCTTCCTGCTTATCTTTTCAGTTGGGTATTTCTCCAGTCTAGGGGATAGTTTTCTCCCACATTGATCAGCACTTAGTTGAATACTTGAGGGGCTCCCTCCATGCAGTCCTCTCCCCTCTAGTACTCTTAGTCTCATTGACCCTAGCCAACTTGATCTTGGTCGACTCTAGCTCCACGTCCTCTACTCAGGAAGTCTTTGAGGCTTTTCAGTGTTTGCAATTCAAAAGGGATTTTAGATGGAAGAAAAGTTATACATATGTGCTCATTCAATCTGCACGTACTTTATAGTCAAATTACCAGCTCCAAGTGTAAGAAATATTAAGACATGAGAATTACACATTGCATGTATAACTAGATGTGGGGAACTCCCATATTATAAACAATTTGTACCTCCAGACCCATAATAAATGATTTTCTCTCAAATGATGATTGTTGATTAAACCTGGCTTGGGCCCCATAAAGACTACAAGTGATGAGAGTCCACAAAATCACATACACTTGTGGCCACACACAACATGAACTCAATAATTGCATCAGTAATATTTGAGAGAAATTCATGAATCATAACGTCAACTATATATGAGAAGAACACTTGGATCATGAAAAGTAATTTGTGAATTTGATATTTTTCAATTTTTACATTCTAGTAGGCTTTATCTTCAAATTAACAACTTGAAATTGGAAATAAAATTTAAATTGCCTTGCTGTATATTTGATAAATTGTTAATGGTCACTCTATGAAACTGGCTTTAAAATAGTCATTTTATTTATTTTGTTTTATGAGCAGCCCCAAAATCCAAATATAGCTCATAAGAGTAAAAAATTTTCCCAGGCAAAAGATGCAGGGTGTGTAGTACGTCTCATCAAAAGAGATCTATTTTACTTGAACCTTCACTACAAAGTAAAATTCTGAATTACTGTGTTTGGCATATGCAGATATGCTCACAGTATATATCACCCATAATCTCTTGGCAAGAAAAAGAGGGACATATTAGTATGTCATACTCATTTAAAAATTTTACGCAAATCTTAAACTTTTGCCCATAAATATCTAAAACTATAACACTCAGTTTCCAGAGCACTTAATTTTCTTTTAATTGTGGCATAAATAATGCCCAGTTTAACATCACTAGTGTGCCTTGTATTTGTGTGGATTTTTGTCCTGCAAATAGGAAAAGGGCATAACCTTTAAATGTATAAATAAATAAGGTAAACATGAAGGAAAACAGAATCTCATTCCACTTGTCCAAATGCTTCCTTGAGGTCACCCATGTCTCTTTGTTTAGACTCCCCATGAAGTCCTCTGCTACAATGTGTTCAAGAGAAACAAAAACATTTACATCTTTGGAAATGAATATTTCTAAATATTATTAATGCAATTATTGAGTTCACGTTCTATGTGGCCACATGCGTATGTGATTTTGTAGACTCTAATCACTGGTAGTCTTTATGGGCCCCAAGTCAGGTTTAATCAATGATCATCCTTTTCTGTGATCTTTGTCTTTATTTTTCTCTACCATCTTATCCTTTTTTCACTTCCTTAGCATAGGTATTTGTATTCAAATATACCACCTCTTGGAAATTCCTTTCAATCGTCTCTTACTATGCTTTATTTATCTTTACTAACGACCACAAAAGTAAGGGCAGTGCTCTGTATAGAGAGGGAAATGAAATGAATAATACTATTCACTAGCAAAGAAAAGAGAAGTATGATTCTCCATGAAGAGATTTTGACAGGCAAAATAAGAGGCAAAGCTGCATGATATACACAAATAATTATTTGTGTCAGTAAGTTTTAAAATGCTTATATCAGCAAATTAATGTAGGTTTTTAATTGTTAATTTTGTTTCTGATGCTTTAGCTTAAGAGCACATATAAGTATTATGGTAGAACTATCTGAGCTTATGTTGATGAGTCTTGGAGGTACAATACAAAATCGGCATGCTGACAGAGATGGTTACAGAATTGGATTCCTGCCCAGGAAATTATTACCTTTAGACCAACTATGGCTGCAACAGAAGAAAAAATCACAGCTCTTGAGAAATAACCAATGTCAGAGGCTTTGAAGTTAAATTGATCTGGAAGTTGAGGCTGTCCTTCATGAAGGGTCTTTTACTGCATCCCTGAGAGATTGAGTGCCTAGAGGAAAACAAAGATTATTGTGGAGATATGACATTATAATGTCAACATCTTAATTTTTCTCAAGATAGGATATTACTTGCAAACAATTTATCATTAGTTATGCTAGGAATTTAAAATATATATAAACCTGAGTTTCACATATGTAATAAAGAAAATACAATGTTTGAAAAGATAGCAAATATTTCTTTTTTAATTCCAGGCAAAATACAATTTGGTAGTGCAGACAAGCTAAAATAATAAATTGTAATGTTGATATAGTGGACTACTAGAAGTACACACAATGACCCATGGGAACAAGAGGAGGGGCTCAAAAACACAGCCTATGTCAAGCACATGGCCAGAGATGGCTATCCTCATCCTCGTGAAATCAAGCGATGACGGAGTATTGAAAGATGAGTAGAAGCATTCAGATGGGAAAAACAATTGGAAATCCATGTGATAGACAAAGGTCATGTGGAAATTACTCTTTACACACACACATAAATGTCAACCAAATAAAGCAAATTTCCAGTGTCAGATAAGGAGAAAATATATCATAAGGCAAGAGGAAAACTAGTCAGAGATGGATCTACACTTCTCAGAGTTATAAAAAAAACAGAAATAGCTCAGTGGCTGGGATTGCCATGACCACATAGATTAGTAATTCAAACTGCATGATCCATGCCTGTTAGAGAGTGTGAACCAAAAAGTATCTGAGACAAGGCTCAATCAATTTAGAAAGTTTATTTTGCCAAGGTTAAGGACATGCCCATGACACAGCCTCAGGAGGTCCTAATGACATGTGCCCAAGGTAGACGGGACACAGTTTGCTTTTATACATTTTAGGGAGACATAAGACATCAATCAATACGTGCAAGATTTACATTGGTTCAATCTAGAAGGGCAGGACAACTCAAAGTGGGGGCTTCCAAGTCATAGGTAGATTTAAACATATTCTGAATGGCAGCTGGTTTAAAGAGTTATCAGTAGAAAGGAATGTCTGGGTAACAATTAGGGGTTGTGGAGACCAAGATTTTATCATGCAGGTGAAGCCTCCAGGAGCCAGGCTTCAGAGAGAAGAGATTACAAATGTTCTTTATCAGACTTAAGGTCTGTGTTAATGTAAATGCTGGGGTGGTATAATGAGGCATGTCCAACCCTTGATTGGATGCCATCTTGGGACTAACATGATGTTAGCTCTATCATGGCCTGAACTAGATTTTCAAGTAAACTCTGGAATGCCCTTGGCCAAGAAAAGAGGTTCATTCAGAAGGTTGGGGGGCTTGAGAATCTTATTTTTGGATTACATTGTCCCTTTTCTGGCCAAAATTTGCCAGAGGCAATATCAATGGCCACCAAATTTTTTTCTTGTCCCGTAGAGTTGCTGGGGTAGCTTGGTTGCCTGCCCTGGGTCCATCCTGTCTCTTGATGGAATTCCCTATGGCCAATGAACTTAGAGTCAAAAGACATTGCCAATTAAATGTACTGGGCCAGATAGGAATGGATGTGAGCAAGCATTTACTACCTCTTAAACAATATGTTTTTAAGCAAAAAGTCAACAAAAAAAAGCCAAAGGTGAGGTTACAAAATTGATTTGTCTTTAACTTCTATGCATTGAACTACTATAATCTTGGTTTTAGTTACAGACTGATAGCAATTAGCTATACAAAACATAAGCATTGTTCTGAAAAAAAATTTTAATATGTATGTATCTGCGCAACTCATAATGGGGAGTATTATACTCAGGAGGCTTTGTCATGAGGTATCTTTATCCTATCAGTAATTATTTTATTTTAATTCTACAGGAAGTATTACCGGTAGAAGGTATCCGAGTTACCAGCGATGAATCCATGGGGGCTGCAGCAACCTCAATTGTTGCCTCCTTAAAAGAAAGAATTCAACTCAAGGGCATAACACAGAAAAAGAGAGCAAGGCAAGTTTCAGAGCAGGAGTGGGAGTTTATTTAAAAAGTCTTTAGAATAAGAAAGAAAAGAAAGTATGCTTGGAAGAGACCCAAGCAGGTGACTTGAAGAACATGTGCGGTGGTTAGCCTTGATCCTAGGACTTTAGAGGGTGGCCCCTTTCCCATGATTCTTCCCTTAGGGTGCACTGCCCACATGTGCAGTTCCCTCCTTACTCTTGGGAGGTGAGCATGTGCAGTGTGTTTAGGAAGTTGCGTGCATGCCCATCTGAGGCTTTCTTCCCTTTTTCAGTGGTGTGACCTCGTAAGGTCATATTTCGCCATTTTGTCTCTTATTCCACATGCCCGGGAAGTTGCTTCTCCCTGGCATCTGGATTCAATTAACACTTTAGTGCAACAGGTGTGGACCATCAGGAAATGGCCTCTCCCTGGCACCAGCTGCCAATTTATCACATTTAGATAGGCAATGTGGTAATTGCCAAAACATCACCCAATATTCCTGGTGGTTCGTGCCTGTCTAACTACTTGTATCAAAAGCAGGAAATTCTTCAGAGTTGCAGTGCCTGAATTCTTTAGGGAAATGGTGCCACATAATAGCTCAGAAGTCAAAGTCCCTTGTTTTACCAGCTGTTTAGGCATCTGTGTACCCAGTCTTGATTCGGAGAGTCTGAGCTAATTCTATTCCTCAGAAATGGCCCTTACAATTTCATGATTCTGGTTTCCTTGGATTTAAAACTAGGAGAGATAAATAACATTACTATTTTGATAATCAAAAGAGTATTTGTGTGTCAGAACAGAAAAAGGAACCTATTCCATTGGGGCACCAACTAAAAATATGGTGAAAAATGATAATCTGGTACTCTTTAGAAGACTATTGTAGCCAAGAAATAATTAATGATTCGGTCCGCACTCAGAAACAAGTCAGGGCTGAAATTTAGTAACAAGTGTTACACTTTTCCTTTGAAACAATTTCTATCTAGCCCTCCTTTTCTATTAAAGAAAAATTATGTATGAAATAAGTTTTAGGCTTATTATATTTGGCTTGATTATTCACATAAAGTGCAACAAGAATTGATTGGCCTTATAGGCTGCTATTAATTTGACTTTGCTGAAACTTTACCTAAGAATTTGTTGTGATAGTCAAAGCCTTGGTAAAATAAACTGTGTCTCCATTTGTCGTGTTGTAAAAGAAAAGACTCCTACTAAATTTAGGCAAATAACTATATTGTCATAAAATCAGAATACTCATGAACAGTTTCCAAATTTTGGAGAACCCAGAAAGAAAAGTAAATTTGCTCACAAAAATATACCTTATCCAATTGCTCTAAACTATAAATAACTCACAAGAAAAAAATTTGCTTGACTCTTCTTTAACCAGAGCAGTGGCTTTCAAACAGGATGCTGTTTGTTCACTTTGGAACTGCTATCCACAAGCCAAACAGCTCTTGTTAGATGAGACTTGTCTATTAGGCACTGTAGAATCTAGCAGCTCTTCACATAGTTGGAGTCCTTCCTAGGGGAAAAAAGAAGCCCTCTGCTTATAAGTATTCTCATTCTTGCATTTCCCAGGTAGCAAGGGCCTACATCAAAAAGATTTGGGTTCCCAGCAGGGGACAGGCCAAAAGACTCAGACCCTTTGGTGAATCTTTATCTTATTTGCTTCTACATTGCCCCAGGCAGCATAACCTATCTCATGATAACATTTGCCTTTAAATTTTTTTTATATTTTCCAAATCTGGGGCAAATAGTGAATAATCATCCAAAAGTTTCCATCACCCTTCTGGGGCAAGTCCTTTAACTCCCTTTTTCCTCCAATTTCCACCCCCACTTTATTTTTGTTAATTACTCCAATATTTGATTAAGCATCTGTAAGACCCATCAGGAACAGTAAATTTGATAACGCTTCTCAAACAGTCGTATGATTCTGCAGGAGGGGTGCCCATGTAAAAGGCCCTCCCCAACACTCAAATTTACCATGATCTGGGTAATAAGCATATTCGATGGGAGAATATCCTGGCCATCATAGAGTCAGTTCCACGTGGCTTGCATGTGAAGCATATCAACTGCTTCATCTCTAGTGTTTCACTTATATTTTATAGAAAGAGTCAGGCAGTCCCCTTTCAGGGCAAACAGACCTTACAATGGCATTTATCCAGCCCACCAGGTTGTTTGTTCAGTCAGAAATAACCTCCTGTGCATTTGGATCACATAAACTCATCAGTGATTGCTCAGTAGTAAACTGTGGGCCCTGCATCAACCCAAATAAGCTCTTTCATTCTCTAGCATTTAAAATTAAGGATTTTGTCCTTAAAGTAGTTATTTTTACAATTCATTGTAGTGAAGATTTCTCAAGAAGCTGATTTTACCAATCTACAAAATGAAACAATTCCTTTATATTATACCCTTTGTTTTGACAGTTACTTGGTTTTGCCCTTCCCCTCATATTGACTGTCTTCTTGGTAACCACGTCATGTCTCAGAGGTAACTTTTGTAGCCCTGGCTTAATTTTTCTTTTTATCTATTTAGCTTTATCTGTACAATTTCTCCTTTATTGTAAGGAAATTCTTAGTTTCTTAACTAGAAAAAAATTACATTTCCTTTAGCAAAATCCACATCCTTGTGTTTTATAAACGTCACCAAAAATACTTTTTATGCTCCTACTATTTTACTTCTTGGTGACCAAAATTCCCAGTGAGGAAAAAAAAAATGAGTTTTTTTTTCTTTGCTTTTTGTTTTATGTTTTTTTTTTTTTTTTTTTTTTTAGACGGAGTCTCACTCTGTCACCCAGGCTGGAGTGCCGTGGTGAGATCTCGGCTTATTGTAACCTCCACCTCCCAAGTTCAAGTGATTCTCCTGTCTCAGCCTCCTGAGCAGCTGGGATTATAGGCACCTACCACCACGCCTGGCTAATTTTTGTATTTTTTTTAGTAGAGATGGGGTTTCACCATGTTCGTCAGTCAAAGTCTCGAACTCCTGACCTCAGGTGATCCACCCTCCTTGGCCTCCCAAAGTGCTGGGATTACAGGCGTGAGCCACCATGGTTAAAAACGAGGTTTTAATTTAACATAACATGACTTCAAGATTTTAAACTATTGGAGATAATTTTGAGATTAAATTTACCAAATTAATCTTACTGAAGATTACCGAAGTCATGTGAGTTAAAAGAGACCTGAGCTAGCTTCCATGAGTCTGATAAGCCCTTACTTTTCTTTAAGTCAATTGATTATAGCTCTTTCATACAGTTTAATCCTAAAATATCACTTCCACATGACACACATAAACATATAGATACAACAAACATCAGACAAAAACAGATTCAAAAGATTTATTTGCCTATTTTCAAATATTATCTCCCTTACTTTAGAGTATTAATTTTTAAAAGTTACAACAAAAATTAAAGGAGAGAGTTACCATCCCAGGCCTTCTCAAAAGAGACAAGGAACTGAAGCAACAGGGTACATCTTCTGAGATATCAATATGAATACTTTCAAAAAAAACAGGTAATAGAATTTAAAAATTAAAAACTTCTTGCATACCCAATGAGTTATTCAACTCAATATCTTTAATAAAATCTCTTTTTTACCAATTCCTTATTTTTGTGTGAGTGTGTTTTAATATCAAAGTTCAATTTTTAGAAAAACTATTATAATTTCCATTAATTATAACCAATTAATCACATAACATTTATATAAATTCCTTTTTTACTAACCTTATTATGACTTACAGCATTCCCACCATGCATGGACTTTCTCACTTGTCCTAAATATTCCTCTTTTTTGAACAACCCAGTATTTTATTTTAGGACAAAAATTCACTATACAAGACTCTTTCTCATATAAAGTTACTTTTCTTTAAGCTTTCTTACCAAAAATATCTCTTTATCTCTATAACATTGTTTATATCTCTCTTGTTTCCTAGTTCCTTTTACATTATTTTATACATAACCTTTAAGCTTTGAATTAGACAAAAATTATTTACCTTTCAATAAGAACATATTTATTAGAATGTTTTCCTACAATATAATTTAATTGGAAAACACCCAAATATTTAATAAAATATCTTATTTAATTTCATATAACTTTAGATTATAAATTATGACAAGTTTGTTTATAAGTATCTATTCCATCACATATATCTAATTATTTTATTTTAGTAGTTTACCTACATTATTTATGAAAACTGTGATAGTGATCAAAGTTACTTTTCCTATGAAACATTTTTATAGCCTGTGAATTTTAGGTTATTACCCAAGTAAGAACTTTAAGGTTAAGAATATGTTTATTTTACCAGTAATTCAAGATTTAGCTGTTTTCATTAAACTAACACTATTAATATCTTATTTATTAAAAATTACATGAGCAAAGATTATTCTGGTTTTGGCTGGATTTATAGTTTTCTAACCCTTATATCAAAGTCTGATACCTTATAGTATTTGCCAGGGATAAGTATGAAATCATTTGATCAATGAATGCAAACACAAAAGTATGCTGACAATTCTTAAGACATTTCTGATATTACTTTATCAATAATTTTAAAACCGGCTTATTTATTAAAGATTTTACTTAAGTCATGTGAATTTGAAAAGCATTTGGGCTTATTATTTAATTTATGAGTACTTTTAAGTTTAAGCCAATTTGGTACCATGTGGCCAAAAACATAACAAAATATGTGTAGGTACACACACACACTCACACTCACACAAACAAAAATCCTTTAGATTTTATTTCAGAACTCTAGCCATGAGATATCAATATAAAACTCACTGGTTTGCAAAACTAAATGGTTAGATGTAAATAGTGGATTTTAGCTCAGTAGAAAAGTAGCAGCTGACTTAAAGCAGGCAGAAAAGAAACCAGAAAGAGAATTTAGGAGCATAATAGTTGCAGGTCGACCTTTGGGCTCTGAATGCTCCTTGGTGTAATTTGCCCCTCAGTTTAAAATGTGCACAAGAGCAGACTTAACGTGTGACCAGCTGGAGTGCTAGGAAACCTGGCATGCCCTTCCATTTACATAACCGCTTGCAGGTAGAGGCACCATAAAACCAGAGTGGCTGAGAGGGACCGTTCTCCATGTTGTTCCTCATTCTTACATGATTCATTTCCCACATTTTTTCTTAAAAGGAGGAAGTGGGTTGGGGCCTAGAATTTAGTGTGGTGGATTGAAATGTGCTGATTGTGGGCAGGGTTCCACAGTATGTCACCACCAAGTCATTTCTGCCCTGTTACGTGCCTCAGTTTCTCTCTCTGGAGGTCTAGCACCTCTGGGGGGCTCAAAGCACAGAGAGACAAAGATCCTGTGTGTGCTTCCTCGATGAGCCTTTTAAACTAATTTTGTTGGGGGTTCCCTGTAGGGCCACTGCACATCATGGGGGGGTCAGCCCCCAAACATTCCCACTTGGTTCCCAGTCTCCCAGGGGCACCTTTTGGCTGGGGGGAGTGAAATGCCCTTCCTCTTCAGAGCTGAGGAAACTCAGTGTCTCATTTAATTATGAAAATGACAGTTCAGTTCCTCACACAAATGTGCAGGCAAGCCAATTGAGATTAATTTTGGAAGAAAGAGCAATAGAGAAGACTCTAAAATGCACCTCCAAAGTAGAATTAGGATCCAAACAACTTCCTAGAAGGAAAAAAAAATAGATAAGACCACTTCCTGCAAACTGTCTTCAGTCACCCCTAATTTTGTAGCTCTCTCATCCATCGTAACACACACCAAAGTCAAATCCTCTCATGGTACTCGGTAATCTCTAGTCCCCTGAAAAGCCAAAGAGGTCAGGTAATGCAATGCAGGAAACCAAAGCTTTCATGCTGTTACACTTGAAACACCATAAAAAAAGAGAACACCCCAAAAAGGAATGAATGGTGCCTTTGGTTTGGAGTTTGAGACATTAGAAGCCTTCTCCAGATTTTTCTTGGTACCAAACACAGTGAAGAGGGAAGGAAGAATAGAGTGAAATAAATGTAAACAAAAGAACACTTTTTTTTAAGGACAGGACACAAACACAGAAACCAAGTACATGGTTTTTTGTTCATTTGTTTGTTTGGTTTTTGCTTCATTTTGTTTTGTTTTGCAGCTGCAAGGAATATTGCCAATTCAAAGGTCTTGTTCCCCATAAATTGGAATTCACATTTGGACTTGACCAAGTTAAGCACAGTTGGTCAAATCTGATGAGAGAAAGACCAGAACAACAAAAAGAACCCCAACAATATGATTACTGAGTGCTCTAAAGGTAAGGAGAAATTAAGACCACCTGGTTGTCAGTTTCAACCTTTAGTCATTTAGGAGAATTTCCAAGACCAAAAAAGCCCCAATTCAGCTACTTACCTAGGATTGGGGTCCCAGCTAAAGACTGCTCTCTACCTTCCTAGAAGCAGGAAAAAACTGAAACGCGCCTTCCCTGTTGGAAGTGAGCTGAAACTCCAAAAGGATTTACCTGTCTTCCATCATCATGGGAAGCAGGAAAATTTGCCTTTTTTTGTTGGAAGCAAATAAAACTCCAGAAAAAGAATCATACAGCAAAATAAACATTGGATCTCAACCAAATTTTGGGAGATTAGGGATTCTCTGGAGGGAGGGGAACTCCCAGGCCTCAGCAAATTGTCCTATTGGTTTTAGCCACAAGGATGGCTCAAGGTGATGCTAAGCACTGATAGGAGATTTGCCAAATCTCAGAACCTCCACTCAGAATCCCTCTGTGGTTACCAATTTGTGAGACAGAAAGTATCTGCAACAAGTCTCAATCAATTTAGAAAGTTCATTTTGCCAAGGTTAAGGACACATCCATGACACAGCCTCAGGAGGTCCTGACGACAGGTGCCCAAGGTGGTTGGGGCACAGCTAGCTTTTATACATTTTAGGGAGACATAATACGTCAATCAATACCTGTAAGATTCACATTGGTTCAATCTGGAAGGGCAGGACAACTCGAAGTGGGGGCTTCCAAGTCATAGGTAGAATTAAAAATTTTCTGATTGATAATTGGTTGAAAGAGTTATTATCAGTAGAAAGGAGTGTCTGGGTAACAATAAGGGGTTGTGGAGACCAAGGTTTTATCATGCAGATGAAGCCTCCAAGTAGCAGACTTCAGACAGAATAGATTGTAAATGTTTCGTATCAGACTTAAAGTCTGTGTTGAAGTTAATGCTGTGTTGATGTTAATGTATAATGAATGCCCTTAGCCAAGAGGAAAGGCCTTAGAATTTAATTTTTTGTTTACAAGAGTTAGAAATCAGGGTTGGTTTTTTTCTTTCACAAAACTAAAACTTCCAAAGAAAAGATATTGAAAAAAGTATATTAAAAAAAAACCCTGAAAATTGTTTTGAAATGAGAAAATAGTACATTTTAAGATAGAATAAAGCACACTGCATCCTGGAAAAGATAAATAATTCTAAATTCATCCCTGGATGCATGTAGTAACGGAAGCATAATGAAAAAGATTAGAGTCCTATAAAGAGAATATAGGCCACTTAAAGGAGAACAAACATTGTAATGAGAGCATCTTGAAATACAGAAGCTAGAAGTTATCAGAATAATATATTTGAAATAGTTGAATAAAGTAATGGTCAGTTCAGAAATCTATATTCAATAATTAAATATTAAAGAGTGAAAATAATATTAAGGCAGTTTAATGACTACTAAGAGAATTTATTAATATATATACTCGCTATTAACATTCATATGTATTCTTTAGGTAAGTGTCTATTCAACTGCTTGGCCCATTTTTAAAACTGAGTTGTTTGTCTTTTTATTGTTATGTTGTGTTTTTTTATATATTCTGGCTACAAGTCTTTTTGATAGAGAAGAAAGGAGGAAACCAGTCGATCAGGCAGTTACAGTGGTTGGGTCCTTGATTGAATTCTTTCAAACAAAAGAATAGCCTAAAAAATCAAGTAGCAGGCACAGATAAGGAAACTTGCATGGGGGGCTTGCCTAACTATGCACATAGCCACACAGATAAGAAAGGCAATGCAGGTGACTTGCCCAGACATGCTTGCAATGGAAAATTCTGTCCCCTGACACATGCACTGGAAGGGGAACAAAGCACTATGGAGTAACTTAAGCTAAGGGCCTGCATGTGCATTAGGAGGATGGGGTGGAGCTACCAGAAATTTGCACCTTATGCAAATGAGACGCCCAGCCCTAAACAGGTTCTTATATAAGCCTTTGTATTCATCTATAAAACCGGCAACCCTCTTTCGGACCCCCTTTCTGCAGCAGAGAGCTTTCTTCTTTGGCTTATTAAGCTTTTGCTCCAACCTCACCCTTTGTGTCCACATTCCTTAATTCTCTTGGTCGAGACACAAAGAACTCCAGGTGATACATCACAAGGAGAGACTGCTACGTTGAGGTGCATTGGCATGACTGTAACATTTTATCTGATATATAATTTGCAGATATTTCCTTCTGTTCCACAGGTTGTCTTTTCGCTTTATCGATGGTGTCTTTTTGAAGCATTTTTTTTTATTTTGATGAAACTAGATTTATCTTTTTTGTCTTGCCACATGTTATTTTACTATTATATCTAGGACAAAATTGTCTAATCCAAAGACAAGTTTTACTTCTGTGATTCCTTCCAAGAGCTTTACAATGGTAGCTCTTACCTTTAGGTCAATGATCCATTTTGATTTCATTTTCATATATTGTCTGAAGTAGGGGTTCAATTTTATTATTTTAGTCATAGAGCTACAGTTGTTCCAATATCACTTTTTCAAAAGATTATGCTTTTCTCTGTTGAATTGTATAGATATTTATCAAAAATCAATTGAGGATTAATGTAGAAATTTGCTTCTTGAATCTCTCAATTCTATTCAATTTGGAAAGTATTGTCATCTTAACAATTTTAAATCTTTTGATCTATGAACATGAGATGTCTTTCCATTCACTAATTATGTTGTTAAATTTATTCCTAAGTATTGTTTTGTATGCTATTGTAAATGGAATTGTTCTCTAATTTCATTTTTGGATTGTTTATGGATAGGATATAGAAATACAACACTTTTTTAAAAATTCAACGTAAGGCATCGTAGCTTATGCCTGTAAACTCACAACTTTGGGAGGCCAAGCTGGGAGGATTTATTGAGGCCAGAAGTTCAAGGCTGCAGTGAGCCACAATCCAGTATCACTGCCTTCCAGCCTGGTTGATAGAGCAAGACCTTGTCACAAAAAACAAAACAAAAACAAATTTATATTATATCTTGCAGCCTTACTAGCCTTATGAGCTCTAGTAATGTTTGTGTTTTCTTTAGAATTTATATATACATGACCATATCATCTGCAAAGAGAGAATTTTACCACTTCCTCTTCAACCTTGATGTCTTTTTAATTCTTGACTAGTTTCCTAGGCTAAAATTGCTAGTATAATATTCAGTATAAATGGACAGAACTGATATCTTTGTCTTAATCATGAATGTAGGAAGAAAACACTCAGCATCTCACCATCATGTATAATGTTATCTATGTGTTGTTGTTGTTGTTGTTTTTGTAGATTTCCTTTGTCAGGTTTAGAAAGTTCCCCTTTTTTCTTAGTTTGTTGACAGTTATATCATGAAAGTGTACTGTATTCTATCTAAGGGTTTTATTTGGCATCAACTGGGGTTATTATTTTTCCTTTATTCTATTAATATGATATATTACATTCATTAACTTTTCATATTGAAACAACTTGGCATTCCTGGCATAAATCTTACTTAGGTCACAATTTATAATCATTTGACACAGTACTAGATTTGACTCGCTATTGTTTTGTTGAGGATTTTGTGTGCGTTTTCACAAGAGATATTGAAATGTAGTTGTGTTTGCCAGGTGTCACAGTAATATTGACTTCATAGAATGGGTTGAGAAGTATTCCTTCCTCTTCTAGTTTTGGAAGATTTTTGTGAAGAATTCGTATGAATTATTCCATGAACATTTGGGTGAATTAATCAGTTAAGCCATCTGGACCTGATCATTTTTTTTGGCAAGTTTTAAAATTTATTACTAAGTAAATATATTTGTTTTCAGTCTATTCAGATTTTTTATTTCTTCTTGACTCATTTGTGATCATTTACGTATTTCTAGACTTTTATCCTGGTTATGTAATTTGATGAAATACAATTGTTTATGGTATTTCATTTTAATCCTTTTTATAAGGTTAAGTAATAATGCTTCTTATTTCATTCTTGATTTTAACAATTTGAGTCTCCAAAACTTATCATCATTCACATTTTAAAATTAATCTTGATAAAGGTTTGTCCATTTCATTGGTCTTTCAATAAATAACTTGGCTTTTTAAATGTACCCTATTGCTTATCTACTCTCTATTTCATTTATTTCCTTTCCAATATTTGTTTCTGCCTTCTTTCTGCTTGCTTTGTATTTAGTTTGTTCTTTTCTTTCTAGTTTCTTTAAGTGGAATGTTAAAGTTTTTTTTAAGACAGTTTAAAGTACAGGTTGCTTACAGCTACATATTTCTCTCTTATCGCTGCTTTAGCTCCTTCACAGAAGCTTTGCTATGTTTTATTTCATTTTTGTTCATCTCAAAATATTTTTATAATTCCCTATGTGATTTATTCTTTCACTCACTGATAATTTAGCAGTGTGTGGGGGTCTTTTTAAAATTTCCACATTTTTTAAATTCCCCAGTTATTTCTATTTTTAAGTTCCAGTTTTATTTCATTGCAGTAAGAGAACATACTCTGTATTACTTAAATTATTTTAAATTAATTGAGGCTTATTTTGTGGCCTGACATATGCTCTGTCCTGGACAATTTCCATATACAATTGAGTAGAACTTATATTCTGTTCTTTTTGGATGGAGCATTCTGCACATGTCTTATCATCTATAATGATAGGTAACATCTGTCATCTACAGAGGTCAAAATGATGTGCAGAGTTGTTTGAGTCTTCCTTATTAATTTTTGTCTAGGTGTTTTAACCATTTTTGAAAGTAGGGTATTGAAGTCTTCAACTAGTTCTCTTAAATTGTAATTTCTCCCTTTATTTTTACCAGTTTTTGCTTCATATATTTCAGGCTTCTGTTGTTAGGGCATGCATGTTTATATAATTGTTATGCTTTTCTCATGGATTGAACTTATCCTTATAAAATTTCCCTCTCAGTTTCTAGAAATAATTTTTGCCTGCAAATACATATTGTTTTCCATTAGCATAACTATTCTAGCTCTCTTTTGTTTACCATTTACATGGTATATCTTTTTCATCCTATTATTTCTAAACTACTTTTGTCTTTGTATATAAATTGTGTATTTTATAGACAGGATATAATTAGATTATGTTTTTGTATCTGCCAATCAGTTCATTTGTATTTAATATAATTTTTGTTAGGATAAAATTTATGATTGCCATTTTGCTGTTTTTTACTTCTTATTTCTCTTTTGTTGGTCTATTTCTTTATTACTGTCTTTTATGTTAAATAGATATTTTCTAGTATATCATTTTAATTCCATTGTCATTTTTAAAAATAATATTTTAGTTATTTTCTTAGTAGTTGGCATGAGATTAAAATGAGCATCTTAATTTGTAACAACTTCACAAGTTTGTTTATAGCTATTTATAAACAATGTATTTATACTGTATTTTATAGTTATTTTCACTGGTACTACTATTTTTTCATATGGGTTTGAATTACTGTCTAGAGTCCTTTCATTTCAACCTAAAGAACTCTCTTTAGTATTTCTGATAAACCAAATCTGCTAGAGATAAATCCCCTCAGTTTCTGTTTACCTAGGGAAGTCTTAATTTCTGCTTCATTTTTGAAGCAAAATTGTGCTCGGTATTGAGTTCTTTGTTGACAGTCATCTTCTTTAAGCACTGTAAACATGTCATCCACTCCCTTCTGCCCGCCATGATTTCTTGTGAGAAACCTGCTGTTAATTTTATTGAGGATTCCTTGGACATGACAAGCCATTTCTCTCTTCCTCCTTTCAAGATTTTTTCTTTAATTTGGGTTTTTGACATTTCGATTATGATGTTTCTAGGTGTGAAAAATCTTTGAGTTTATTCTACTTGCTATTATTTCAGGGTTTTTTGATGTGTAAATTAAAAGTTTTCATTGAATTTGGGAATTCTTGGCAATTATTTCCTCAAGCATTCCTTCTCTTCTCTCCTACCGGAACTGCCAACATTTAGATGTTCATGTGTTTCATGGTGGCCCATAATTTTCTGGTTTTTCATTTGCTTCTTTCTGTTTCTCAGACCAGATAATCTAAATTAACGTATCTTCAAGTTCACTAAACTTAAAGATACATTAATTGCCCGTTGAAATCTCCTGTCGAGACATTTTAATAAATATGTTATTTTACTTACTGTTCTTTTCAACTCCAGAATTTCTATTTGGTTTACTTAGAATTTGTATCTCTTGCATTGATATTCTCTGTTTGATTTACTTTTATAGTTTCCTTTAATTATTTGGACATATTTTAAATAGCTGATCTAACATTGGTATCTAGTAAGTTCAATTTCTGGTGTTCTCCCCGGATAGTTTATATTGAGCTTTGTTTTCTGTATATGAACCATATTTTTTGTTTCATTTTGTATCTCATTTTTTTCATTTTGTATCTCATAATTATATAATGTAGCAACTGTGAAAATCAGATTTCTACTCCCTATAATTTATTTTTATTATTACTGTTTGTCGTATCGATGTTATTGCTATTTGTATAGTGACTTTCCTAAGCTAATTTTGCTATGTGTGCATTCTTTGTTACGTAAGGCCACTGAAGTCTCTGTTTTTGTAGTTCAGTGGTCAGCTAATGAGTGGACATTAATTTTTTTGAACCAGTAAGACTCCCAATCTTGCTGAGAGAATGTGTGAGTTGGGGCATGTGCAGTTTATATACACTGCTTTATTCTTTGCTTTCTGCTTTCACAGAGCCTCAAAATCAGTCAGAGATGAGAAATTGGGACCTTATCAGATTATTTCTCAGCATGTGCCCAGATCTGCACATGGATGTAGCCCTCTAGATTCCCAGGATATTTCTAGGCTTTTCAAAGCTCTTTATGATTGTCTCATTCCCCAGCTTTTCAAGTTTTGTAGTCAGTTTCTTATTAGCCTTACCTACATCACTGCCTTAGGCAGATGTGAAGTTAAACCAATTGTCACTGATTTCTTTCCAATAAATATCCGAGGGAGAGGGCTATTTGCATTGGACAAGCTCTGAGTCAGTTCTAATAAAGACGAGCTCCATGTAATGGCTTCTCAGAAAACGGCCAGACAGGTCAAATAATGACAGTCCTCTGGAAATGAGATGGTTGAAAAAGCCCCAACCCATTCTTCCCCCAATAGTGGCTGATTGGCTGCTGGTTTTCATCCCTACGTGATTACAAGACTGGTGGTTTTTAAGGTTTCCTTGGAGCTGAGAAAAGCAGAAGGGGAAGAGGGCAAGTTAAAATGACACAAAGCTCAATCTTATTAAGATTCGGCTTTTTTTCTTGATTAAGCAGTTTTCAGATTATTGCCTGCCTTTGGTTACTTTCCAGAGTTCTGTAAAAGTTGATTTTGACAATTTTTTTTTAACCAGTATTCTCATTGCTTTTATAGAGAAATAAATTTTTGGAGGCATTACATGATTATTCTGGATTTGCCCTCTTATATATTGTTTTAAAATTTCAGTACTGGTTATTAAATTTTCATTGAAGTCAAAGACCTAAGGCACTAACTAATAGTTTGAGCATAAATATACCCTTTTAATCCAAAGTTAACGTCAAAGTTTACTTGCCCAGGCAAGGTTTGTAGCAAGATTCTAAGCAAGTAACAATATAAAATATTTTGTAGTATAATTGAAGAAAGAGATAATTGAAATTAAATGAAATAAATTTAATTCAAGAAGATACAAAAGGGAGTAAATCCAAAGGAAATAGAAAAATTTAATAGTAAAAATTAAATATTAAAATTAAATAATAAATTACAAATTAATAAATTTTATTTATTGTAAATAAAATTTAAAATAATAATAATAAAGGTAAGAGGAGAAATTAATAAAACAGGAAAAGAGGAACTATAGATATAATAAAATATTAGGATACTTTTACTTCAAGTAAAAGTTCAGCTCAAACTGGCTTAAAATTAAGAAAATTGCGTAACTCACTCTATTAGTTAGGTTTTCCCAAAAAACCAGAGTATATATATTCTGTTATATTTTGTGTAATATATATAACTGCATATTGTTATATAGAAATGTAATATAGTTTCATACATATAAATATTAAATATTGAATTGAATAATGAGTATATATGTGTGTGTATATATACTGCATATATACACATATGTGTATGTATTATATATGTGTATGTGTGATATATATATACATACACGGGTGTGTGTATATACATTTTTAAAGCCAGTTTTTGTTTGGAGGTGGACATTGTATACACACACATACATATATGTACATGTATATAAAAAAAGAGAGAGGTTTATTTTATTTTAAGGAACTTGTTCACACAATTATGGGGACTGCTAAGTCAGGCCGACCTACGATGTTGTAGTTTAGAATCAGAGTTCTTTCTTCTCTGGAAAACCTCAGGTCTGGCTCTTCGGCTTTCAACTAATTGAATGAGACCTACCCACATTATAGAGGGTAATTAGCTTTACTTAAAATCAACTGATTTTAAACGTTAATCACTTATAAAAACTATCTTTACAGCAACATCTAAACTAGTTTTGACCAAACAACTGGTTACCTTACTTTAGCCAAGTTGACAGAGAAAATGAACCATCACACATGTGAAGGCAGAGTTAGAACAGGATTCAAGCGTGTTGCAGCCGGTGATCTCAGGCCCATTTCTCAGCAGTCCCTCCGTATTTTGGCTTCATCTTTAGAGAGGCAATTAGATATCACAGTATTTCCAGGCCTTACATTTTTGCAGAATAAATCCTAGAAGAAGAAAAGATGACTTCCAATAACTCACTTAGAAAAATAATATTCCCAAATTATTTTACAAATGTCTACTGGCATCACGTCAGGACAGGTGTGTTCACACAACCATTTGAGAATTGATCACTGTCTAGGAAGGCAGAACTACTCCTAAGGTGCTGAGGTCCATGCTGTAGGTGATGCTATGGTTGGCTTCCCTGTGTCCCAGGGAGTAGAAAGGAAGACATAGCTAAACAAATTAGAGATTTTTGGGGAAAGATGGAGGAGTATGGATACTAACTAGCAAGCAGCAATGTCCACCCCCAAACAAAAACCAGTTCTAAAAATAACCGCCAACAGCAGCAGTGGCAGTAGCAGCAAAATTCAAAATTCATCCAAAGAAAAAACTGCAAACAAGAATAACTAAATAAGAAAGAAGCAGAATAAACACTTAAAGAAATAAAAGTGGGCATGATTATAACTAAAATGTATTTAATGATTAACAAATATTTTGAACAAATTATGTCAATATTTTATTTTGAACTTAGATGAAAGGAATAAAGTTAAATAGCTATAAATTACAATTATTTGTTTTAAAAGAAGATCTGATTAAAACAACAAAATGAAAAATTTAAATTGTTAGTCACCTGTACTCCTTAACCAAAGGAACTAATTACAGATGGTTTTATAAACAAGTTCTACTAATCTTCAAGAAAAAAAACAATTCCTACCAAATTCAAAGTGATTTAGAGAATATGAAAAAAGTAAAACTTTTATTTTTTGTAAGAGTGTAATGCAGCATTGATAAGAAAATAAGACAACTAGAGCCCCCTCCCAAAAAAAATTAAGGCCCCATCTAACTTATGAGCAAAGTGAAAAATCCTAAATAAAAAATGGTAAATGAAAACTAGCAAAACGTCATTACGAGATAAATTTAGTCTCAGGTGTGAAAAAATATTTCAACGTGATAAATCTATTAATGCAAATTACCACATTAACGGATTTATGTGGAAAAAACCATGATCAGAAGGATGCAAGGAAATACATGAAGATAAAATGAACATTAATAACAGAAAAATCTGAGACATTTAACACGTGCTAGTGACAAAATGTTCCAAGCAGACAAAATAAATAGCTTTAAAATGAAAACCACTTTTTACAAACTCTTAGTAATATCACAGTTGGAATTCAATTTTTACAATATTATAGTTTAAAGTCAGATGGAAGACAATCACAGCCATTGTAACCCTTAGTGCGCTGTTGCCAAAGAAAACCAGAGCTGGACACTAGTTAAGTAAAATTTTTTTAAAATATTTTGTTTATAAGCTATTGCAATAAAGGAAAATACACCTTGATATAGAATTGGGCTAAATTCTGAATACAGTAAAGACACTAAAGTGTGTGTGTCTGTGTGTGTGTTTGTGTGTGCGGTAGGAGTCAGTGGATGGAAATTGCTAAAAGCAGACAAAAAAGGTAAGGGAGATTCTTGCTAAACTAATCTCACAGAATTCCAGCTGAAGACAGGCTAGGGTATCAGGGATCCTCTCTAAACTGCCTTAGCAGGATTCTTGCTAAAACTAGGCTATGCAGTTCTGCAAGAATTGGGGCCAGTTGAGGCCTAGGAGAAAAGAAGGTTGTGAGGAGCCGGACAAAAGTTTGGTCATGGAGAGTGTCTTGTCAGTTCCTCCTCTTGATCAGATGAATTCTTTTTCCTTTGAATAATATAAGTCCTTTTCTCATTCGAGCATCTTTTGTTCATTGGGAGCAGCTGAACCACCTGTTGAGACTTGGTGAAAGCTTTCAATTGCTGTACTATGCATGCGAGCCTTATGACATTTAGAGAAGAATAGCTATGAAGAGAAACAGCAAAGATAACAGGCTGAGTCAATCTATAAGCCCAACTTTGCAGGTCTTCAGGGATCACCAAAAACATCCCAGGACCTACAATCTTTCCTTGGTGTTAGTAAAATGGCAGTGATGAAACAGATTTCTTGTTTGCCTCTACAACCTTCTTGGTTATAGGAAAGATTTAAGACAGTTTGTCAGGAGGAAGATGCACCAGTTGTTTCCAACCACCACTCGAGCACCCGCTTCTGCAGCCAGGATCCTGTTGAAGACAGTGTGGCTATAGAGGGCAGCATGCACGGTTTTCCTGTCATGGGTGAGCCAGGGATTGGAGGCCATTGGTGGCATTGTTCAGGCACAAGGAGAGTTGCTTCTGCAATGAGTAGATGATGCTGTTGTGGAATTGAACTTTTTCAGCCAGGTGATAGGTTCCTTGGGATGGTTTCCAAAAAGTGGCAATTCTTTTCCACAAAGTAGGGAGATCATGGATGGAATATAGGCCCAGTTCTGTAGCTGCTTTCTATAAATAACCTACCAGAGCAGAGATCATCTACAAGGGAACTTGTGATGTCCTGGACACCTCTTTTGTTTCCATGATGAGAGAAAGGTGAACAGAAGGCAGTGACTGATGCGTTTAGAAATAATTCAAGAAAAGGTTATTGAACTGAACTGGAGTCAGCTCTCTTGGTGCCTTAAGGCCAAACACCCACATTGAGGTTTGCAGGGGAAGAACGGGCATTTATTTGCAGGGCACCAAGCAAGAAGAATCACACCGTTCATTCTTAAGGCTCAATCTCCCCAATGGCTTGCAAGTAAGGATTTTTAAAGGCATAGAGACAGAGGGCATAGGCAAAGTCATACATCAATACATGGAGACTGTACATTGGTTTGACCTAAAAGGTGAGTCATCTTGAAGTGGGAACTTACAGGTCATAGGTAGAGTTTCTGATTTGTGATTGGTTAAGGAGGCAAAGATTTGTCTTAAAACTTGGGGTCAGAAGAAAGGAATGTTAGCTTTGGCTCATGGGTGTGATTTCCTCCAGGCCCTCAGGAAGAACAAAGAATGATGGCCAGAGTTCAGTTTTCAGTTCCCTCTTATCCAAGGTCTGTGTGTCCATGGATCCACTGGGTAGGGATCTGGGCTTCTGAAAAACAACTCAGAGACCTATGTTAAAATGCTATCTTTAGTTGCTATAGGGAATATCTCATGACTCTAACGTCCTTGGCTGTTGTTTTAAGCTCCTATTGCCTAATTGCTACCAAGCTGCTCATTTACTTCTCAGGGCTAGCTAGATGCCTGGAGTGTCCCTTGAAGGAATTCAAGATTTTCCTGGTAGGGGAGAGAGTCCTGGCAGGCTCCTAAGACAGGTCTCTGCTCTGTCTCAAAAATAAAAACATTATGAGGAATTGAGTATGATAAAGGGAATAGTAAGATTGGAGATATAACAAGAATCTGCCCAGTTGGCCGGAAACAGCCAATAGGCATGAGTTCCACAGAAAAAGTTAGAACCATCAGGAGCTAGCCAGGGTCATATAAATAAGTATCCAATTGCTGAAGCTGCCAAGATAATTCACATTTTGAGGATGGAAAAGAATTTGCCAGAGGTGGTTAGTCCATATGTGGTTCATTTTGGTCCAGTAAATTAGGTTGGGTGGGGCATTGAGGAGAATTCCATTTGTATGAGGGATGTTTCAGGAATCTGTAGCTTGGAGGCTTTATTTTGGATTTAGTGTAATGCTAGGTAAATGTGATGGCAAACGCTCATTCCCAGAAAGGGGACACTGGTGTAACTAAAATAATACAGACATGACCTTTGTGAAAATAGAAAGGCATAGATTCAAGGTTTTCTCACGATGTATTACTATAGTCTGGTTTAGGAAGGTGAAGGGAAAGAAAGGGCCATAGCAAAAAAAATAAAAATAAAAAAATAAAAAAAGCATTTCAATTGATCAAAGAAATCTGGGAAATTCTAGATGTGTCCATGGGAAAGGGGGCACAGCATTACACTCTGTGATGTTGTGGGAAGAAGTGACTAGTGGGGCCAGGCTTTCCAAAGGTTGTGTGGGTGAAGAAGTCTTACTAAGAGGTAAGAAAAGAAAAGGGCAGGGAAGGAGCAGAAACTCCTAAATGTAGGGGCAAAAACATGAAGTTGAATATTAAAGTCAGGCGAGAAAAGTTATGCTGAAGGCAGGGAGTTACGGTGGGCACAAACGACTCTTGAGAAATGAGTTGGGAAGAGCAGGGGACTCCTAGGCAAAGGGCAAGGATAAAGCAGGAGGATGTAGGAAGGCAAATTAGGTGTGTGCTGTTCCCTGGTCCTGGGCAGAAGCTGACTGGACCCCTCACAACATCATCTGCTTGTTCCATGGATATTAGGACAATTGATGCTTCTCGCTATCATTTGCCTCTAGAGGCTCTCCATAGAGCTTGGTTTGAGGTCTCTGAATGGAAAACTTCTCCAGTCTTAATAACTTCTGCATTTCTTTAGTGGAAAAACTGGAACACAAAATTGAACACCCTGTAATTTAACAACAGTGTTAGCAATAAGTAAAACTGTACACGTTTCCTTCTATCTAAATTCCAGTTTTTTGATGGTGGTGTTTCCAGAGCACTAGATCCCCTGGTAAAACTGTGTAAGGGACAATCAGGAAGTTCTAAAAGAGGCAGCCTTGACACAGCAATCATAGTCCTGAGTATATTTCATTGCCCTCCACAGTATCTAAGAATGTGAGATGAGTCCCTTAGAATCTTCTGCTAGCCCAGATGACTAAGGCATGTGCATGCCCTTACCTGTGAGAATTTGAAAAGGCCGGAACTTATGTGGAGACAGTGGGGAGGATCTCAGAGTCATAGAGTGACAGGCAGCACTGGTGGCCACGGTCAGTGCAATTCTTTAAATAGGTTAGCCAGATTAGTGTTGAGGATGCTGTTGGCTTTTTGTATGGTGCTTGGGGACTGAGGTTGGTAAGAGAAGTGGGGTGTTTGTGTAATGTTTATTGTCATTTGAATTTCCTGTATAATTCTGTGAATAGCATGTGATTCTTTGCCACTAGAGATGGTATAGGGGATACCCCAAGTGGAGAAAATTCATTGTAGGAATGCTGAGGCAACTGACCTTCCTGAGGGATTTCATCAGGAAGAGTCCGGGTTGGTGGAAGGAAGTGAAAGTTGCTTGCCATCCTCGTCCTAACTTCACAGTTTTTTTCCAGGGTTATGTTTCTGGCAGATGAGGCAAGTGGCAATCGCTTGGTCCAAACACAAATGAAAAAATCCAAACTATTGTTTGTCTAAAATATCTCATATTTTGTCCATTCCATACTGAGTCATGTTGTGTGGCCACACAGTGGCTCAGGCAGTAGACTTCAGAGCAGCCAAATGGTGGCCTTGTTGTGTCCTAAGTGCATCTTAAAGCATTTGTCTGAGCCAAGCAGCCAAGGAGGGGATGAATACTTCTACCAGGTGTTTAGGGCCTTGAAGTGGGACCCAGACTCATCGTTCCAAAGTTTGGAAAGGGTCTGGCTGCCTTGAGTGGTTGGGAAAATGGCTGTTAATTTAACACACATAAGTGGCCAATTTATTTCTCCAGGCATCAGCCGAGCTTTTCCTACTGTGTCCCTCAGTTTTAACACTAGCCATCTACCAGGGTGCTAACAATCCTTCTGGAGGTTCTGCTGTTAGATGTCTGCTTTTGCCTGGTGCACAAGCTGCTGTCATGTATCCTCTTTTACAACATATCCACATCATGTACTACCTCAAAGGTACCGTGGCTATAACAGTACTATAAACCCTAACCTTTGTTTCCTCTGCTTTTTTGCAAGCCTGAATGAGAGCAATAACTTTGCCACCCTGGCTGATTTAACATTTGTCAGGGCTTGATATTCAAGAGGTTTGTGTTGATAAGTGATGACATATCCATTCCAGAAGGTTCCATTCTCCCTCTAAAGAGGGAGCCATAGACACAAAGGTTGAGGTCAACTTGGCGGAGGGGCTCTCCGATAAATCTAGCCCAGGACAAGATCTAGTGTTAATGACACGTTCATGGTGGCATCCCATCAAAGGGCAAAGAAAGCAAGGTTGGCAAGGTTAGGGTTTTGATGATGATATATGGTGATTTGAGAAGGAGAGTGTAATGAGCTTTCATGAGGTAAGTCAAGATGCAGAAAAGTGCTATGTGTTTTCATTAAGCAAGAAGGGCCTGTATAGCAAGGGGAACATGTGTGTCATTTGGTTGACCTAATACCACATCAGTGGTATTTTGGACATGCTTTGCAGTTCTAGCCATGGCTCAAAGGCAACAGTCATGGCTCAAAGGCCTTAGCTAATGGGTCAAGCTACTGGGTCAAGGCCAAAATACAATATTACAGAGGTCTCTGGTATCCATTATGTTTCTAGAATAATATACCAGGGCATGACCTCCACATTTATCCATGAACAAGGGAAAAGTCAGGAAGTAACTGGGGAGTCCAAGTAACGGGGGAGGGGTGTGAAAGTAGAGAGCCCTTAAAATTATCAAAAGCATTTTTGGATAGCAAGTCTCAGACTACTTGGTTTGGAGATGACTCCTTAATCAGGGCACAGAGCACTGCAGCAATTATGGAGAAATTAGGTACCATATCCTACAACATCTCGCAAGGCCCAAAAACTTCTCAGCATTACTTTGTTTCAAAAAAAGGAAAGTATTAAATAGTAGAGGTTTGGTCTGTGGAGAGAGTTTTACCGTGGCCCAGATACAACAGACATAGTAAGTGCCACTGAATTTTGTCTCTAGCCACCCTGTGATCCTCTCTTGCTCATGCCTTAAGAAGGTGCTCAGTGACCTAACTCTCAGTACCTAGAAGGAGGTCATCCACATACTGGAGTAAAATGGCGTCACTTGGGAAGACAAAAATTGACACCTAGAGTGTTCAAGAGGTAGGTAGAGGCCTCTGTAAATCCTTGGGTCATACTAGTCTGTGTACATTGTTGGATATTTCTGGTGAAGGCAACCAAGTATTGGAGTTCCTTATGAAGGGGTATACTAAAAAAGGCAGAAAAAAAATTGATGACAGTGACATATTGAGTGTTGTAAGTGATAACAGACAGTACAGTGGCAGGAGTCAGCACTCAGGGAAACCCAGGTTTGACCATTTTATTGATAGGTCTTAGATCTTGGACTCAATGATACCCTTCCCATTTAGGATTTTAATGACTAAGATGGGAATATTCATAAACTACAAGTGGACTAGAAGTTGGTTTTTTTTTTTTCTTTTTTTGGTTTTTGAGACAGAGTCTCTCTCTGTTGCCCAGGCTGGAGTGCAATGGCATGATCTCAGCTCACTATAACCTCCACCTCCCAGGTTCAAGCTATTCTCCTGCCTCAGCCTCCTGTGTAGCTGGGATTACAAGCATGTGCCATCATGCCCAGCTAATTTTTTGTATTTTTAGTAGAGAAGGGGTTTCACTATGTTGGTCAGGCTGGTCTCGAACTCTTGACCTCAGGTGATCCAACTGCCTCAGCCTCCCAAAGTGCTAGGATTACAGACGTGAGCCACCGCACCCTGCCTGAGACTAAAAGTTTTTGTCAAATAAACCTGGGACTACTGAGTACAGCCCTCATGTCCTTCTGATTTTAAATGATATTAGAGAATCTTGAGGACAGGCATGGAAGGACCTATTTCTACTTTAAGGGATTGTACATTCCATACAAATCCAGTATCAGTGAAGTTTGTTTGTTTGTTTGTTGTCCATAGAGAAGAGAAAAATCTGTTTAGTAGTTGATTTAAATTTTTAGCTAAATGTATGGTAGTTTGAAGGCGAGAATGGACTCAGAGAAGTCAGACAAAGCCACTGGGGAAGGGAGACTTAAGGAGTCCCCTGGGGCACAGTGAATTTGATATCCCTGTGGAGAGACGATCTCTTCCTAACAGGATTCCTGGGGGCAGAGCTGAGAAGAGAGTTGTGTTTAGCTTTCAGGAGTCCCATAAGAATATTAAGAGATTGAGGCAGAGGCAAACAATGAGGCAAATTATAAAAACCCACCACTCGTAATTTGCGGTGGCCCCAAGGAAGGGAAGAGGAAACGAGGTTATTCCCGTTCCATTACAGGTAAGTGGCAGTTGAGGGCATTGGACATTTTCTTTCTTGGAGGGGTGTCAGTCATTTCCTGGGGAGGCAGGGACTCAGGCTTCTTCCCTCCTCTTGGTGTCCTGGCAACCTCGGGCCCAGTGTCACCTTTTATGATAATGCCAGCAAGTGGCCCAGTCAGTGGGAGCCCATAGTTTCAGAGCTTGCTATTGATTACATTTTCCAGGTTTTTCTATTTCAATTGAAATGCCATAAACTCGTGATGTTTATTTTCCTTTTTATTAAAAAAAATACTGTTTTCATAATACTGAGCTAATGCCTACAGTTTGGATATGTTTGTGTTTACCAATTAATTTTATTATTCTGTGATGTGTCATGCAGCTCTTGTCTCAGACCATTTTCAGTTTGTGGCCAGAGCAGAAGCTGCTTGGGAAGTCAGTTCCAGCCCCAAATGTTCTTCCATGTTGTTTGTAATCAATGGTGGTGGTTAACCACAGTTTCAGCCCTTTTTGGTTTATAATTTTGAATGCATGACCAATCAATTTTAGTGAGATCGTCCTGAGGGGTAGTACCTAGTACTTTTTCCTCTTACTTCCCTCAGTTTCTGATGGGAATCAGGGGAAGTCTGAGATTTTTAATGTTTCTCAAGGTTGATAAAACATTTGGCTTTTTCAAACCAATGGGAGGCATCTCCAGGCCCCTTGAATAAGGATGAGTTGATACGAGTCAGAGAGTTCCAGAGAGTATTTTCTCAGAAAAATTTTTAATTGTTCAGTAAACCTTTCCCTTACCTCCTGGGGGTCAGGAGAGTCCTTGGTGATAACAAGTAATTAAGTATTATCTCTTCGGTGGTCCGCACTTGGAAACAAGTACAGGCTGCGTCTCTGGCTTCACCTACAGGAGAGAGGGCCCAGTGAGCCTGACAGCTCTAGGGAGCTGAAGGACTAGGGATGAGACGTGCAGGGGACATTTTGAGAAAGAAAGATACAGAGGAGGGCTGCGAGGGGACTCCGGGAATATCATAGGAGGGGTATACAGGGCTAACTGGGTCAGAAAATGTTTTCTGAATACCTTGTTTAAGAAGTTCTTCTTGTTTTAGAGTTTTGAGTACAGCTTGAATTATTTAGTCATTTTTCAGCTTCTTCATACCAAGCAGAATAAGTGAATTGTGCATCCAAGATTTTTGTTTCTTGTTACTCTAAGTGTCTTCTAGGTGAACCAATATCAAGACAGACAAGGATCCCCAGAAGGGCCATTGTAGGTCAAGAGGGTTTTTAGTAAAGGTTTTCCAGGGTGAAAGAAAGCCAATGGTATTACAGCCACAGCCACAGTGGCAAAGGGTATTGTCCACAGGAGTTTGAGAAGAGAGGGTACTGTGGTTTAAATGTGTCCCCCAAAGTTCATGTGCTAGAAACAATCTCCAATGTGACAATGTTAAGAGGTGGGGCCTAATGAGCTGTGATTAGGCCAGGAGGGCTCTGCTTTCGTGATGAGGTGAATGCCATTATCACAGGAGTAAGCTCCTTTTCAAAGGATGAATTTGTCCCCCTTTTTCTCTCTCTCACCATCTCTTTGTCCTTCCAAGCAGTTGGAGCTGCTGCCCAAGCAGTAGTGAACTGGAGAGAAACAAGCCCTGGGTTTCCAGTGGTGATGTTGGTCTGAAATAAAAGTCCTGAAACACCTATGAAGTCTGACATCTCTGCGTAGCCCTAGGATTCTGGTTCCTTGCTTTCGGTTGCAGAGTGGTGTGTTTGCGTCATTGTTGATGTCACCTCCTAAAAAGACCTTCACTTTCTTGCTGCCACATAGCCGTATTTGTTGCTCCCCATGTATAGCCTGACAGAATAAATGGAGAGGGAGGTGCTGAATTTGTGTATCACTGGCTGTCAGCTCCTCGTGTTGTTAAGCCTCACACAGGTGTGCTAGCATTGAACTGTAGAGTGTCACACACCTGAGTTTGAAAATAAAAGCATATTCTCCCCCAAAAATGGGAGTGACACAGCAAGAAGTCCCTCTCGAGATGCTGGCCCCTCAACCTTGGATTTCCCAGACTACAGAATCATGAGCCAATAAATTTCTGTTCACTATCAGTTCCCCAGTCTGTGGCATTCCATTACAGCAGCACAACTTGGCTGAGGATAAGAGCTTTCAGTAGAGTGAGAACACACAGTTTCTTTAAACTTAGAACAGAAAAACTTGGGACACTATCCCAGCCTCTGCTTCTTACAGAAACTTGCCTCTTACACACAGTGGGGTCTATGGCTCTGTCCCAGCCTCTGTTTGCTTGGGACTGTAATCCAGCCTCAAGCTATACTGAGAATCCTAAGACTCAAAGTATGTAAACAGACATTTATCTATAGCACTGGGTTTTAGAGCCAGACTCATCACTGCAAACCCAAACAAGCAAGTAGACTGAAGACAAAAAGTCTTGATGCACAAGCTGGGAGGTCCAGTGATCCTATCCAAGAGTTTGGTGGTGGTTCTGATCCAGATCCAAGCTTCATCAGCAAGAAACTGTCAAAAAGAAAACCAACATCAAACATTAGTTAATGCAGTAAAGACAGATTTTATTCAGAAACTACTGCAACAGGGGAAAAGAAACCTCAGTATAGAGCTGGGATAAATTCCAAATACAGTAAAGGCTGCTAGAGTTTTACAGCCAAGGGGTAGGGAGAAGTCAATGGATGGAACACTCCTAAGAGCAGTCATAAAGGGTTGGGGGGATTCCTGCTAGACCGACCTCACAGGATTCTTGCTGAAGACAGGCCGGGGTTTCAGATGGAAGGGTAGAGGGGACCCTCTCTAAACTGACTTAGCAGGATTCCTGCTAAAACTGGGCAATGCCGATCTGGCAAGGATGGGAGCCAAGGTTGAGGCCTAGGAGAAAAGCAGCTTAGTGGAGCCTGATGAAAGCTTGGTCAGGGAGGAGTGTCTTACTGCCACATTTTATTAGAAATCAAGACAAACATTGAAACAAGCAAAATGTGTATGTACATATCTAGTAAAATATTTGGAAATAAAAACCTAATTTTTCCTGTTTTAAAATAATACTGTCCATCCAGAAAATAAAAAAAAAACAGGAAAATGTATATTCAGGCAGATTTGCTGGACAAATTAAAATGTGGAAAACCAACAGAATTTTAACAGCAGTAGCTACTTAGGAGAGCAAAACCAGCAATAAAATATCTTACCTTTTATATTAAAAGAAACTATTTTGATTTAAAAAATAATTTTATTTATAAAAGTGCCATTGAAGTACATCAACGACAAACTGAATAAAGTAGATAGTCCATTTCATGAATGAAGGAATTCAATTCTGATAAAATTAGTAGTGATAATAATAATAAAGCCAACATTTTTTGCACATCTTCCATGGGCCAGGCATCTTTTCCAAGTACTTTACAAAAATCATTTTACTTAATTCTTACAATATTATTTTGGATATTATAAATGATTATGCTCATTTGAAGATGGAGAAGCCAAGGCCAGCAGGGTTTAAACAATTTTTTATAGTCACAGTGAAAGTGAGGAGCAGAGGTGGGGTGTAAGTTTTTTAATTACATAAGCTAAAATTTTAATGAAATTGCAATAAAATGTCCCAATAGAGCAAAGTATTTATGAAATTTTTATAGAAGGTTTATTTTCAGAATGGCCAGGAAAATTTAATTTATTAACTTATTTAATCCTTGCAATATGCCCACAAAGAATCTACTGTTACCTCAATTTTATAGATAAGAAAATTGAGGCACAGAAATTTCAAGTCTCAAGCCTGAGGTTACATAACTAGCAGGTTGCAAACACGGATTACCCAGTTCCAAAGTCTATGCTCTTAATATTTACACATTAAATATATCTGCTTGTGTTGCAAATATGAGAAAATGGCAGGATTAATTTTAATGGTAGATGTTTCTGTTATATAACTATAAATATCTCTATATTCATATTTTAGCAATAAGAAATAAAGCAAAACGTATTCTAAGTAGGCAGAGCTGTAGAGGCAAAAGACAGCAATGTGTTTTCACTATCACTGCCAGGTATGGGGCAAAGTAAGATGTATTTGGAAATGAGACTGGAGAAATAAATAGGATCAGGTCAACATCTGTCAGGCTAATGAATCCGAGGTGCATGGCTCTTTGAAGAATTTGAAGTAAGGGATGATGATTCCTGTTATACGTAATTTATCCTGGCTACAATGTACAAGGTAAAGAGGTCAAGCAAGATGCAGGCAGAGAAAACAATTAGGAGAATGCAATAACAGTCCCAATGATAGATGAGGCTTACTTGAACATAAACAGCACTGGTGAGGAGGAGGCCTCGGAGGAAAATATCTAAGTACAAATGGCTAGATGTGGTGCTTAACGGGACACGCTTGGCTTTCATGATTAGAGGCAGAGTGGAATCATTCGACATATTGAGATGGGAAAAACAGGACTGAAAAGGAAATTATTGGACATTCTAAGCTCGATTGTAAGAAATCCAAAGGTAACACTTAAGCATTTGAGTCAGAAACTCAGGAAGGATGTAAGAACACAGCTAGGAGCCAGCCATTGCAAAATTAGGAAGAGTGTGGGCTAAAGACAGAAGGTTGGTGAAATAGGCATGTTATCCACAATCAAAGGATTAACTTAGAAAAAAGCAGAACAATGGAAACTTAAAAGATAAGAAGCATGAGTGAGCTTGGTAATGGTAGTCAAGAGGATAGAGTTTGAATGAGTAGAGACCTACAGTACAAACAATAGCTTAATCAGACTGAGGTACAGGGAAGTAAGGACAGCAAGAACCATTGTGTTTGGCCGGATGTTATCATCAGAGCCATTGCAGTGCAGCATTAGGTAGGATGCCATGAGTTATCAGACAAGAAAGGATCAAGGTAGAGGCTGAGGATGCGAGCAACTAGTTTGGTTGGAAAAAGTGGAGCTGGGAGAGGCAAAGAGAAACTGTAGCAAGAAAGGAGGGTGAGGTAGATAGAAAGAGGGGATATTGTTACTGTTGTTTTTTTTAATAAGGTCTTTCCAGTATCGGCGGAAAGAGCTAAAACAGGGAGAGGATGAAATGAAAATATAATTCATGAAGTGAGGTCTTAGAGGTGGAATTCAAGTGCGTGCTGCATCTGAGTTGGATATAACCATTTAGGAATGAAGCGAATTAGACCAGCACTGCTCAATGGGTGGTCACAGACCTGCAGCAACAGCATTCCCTGCTACACTGAATTAGAATCTCTGAGGCTGGGACCCAGGAATCTGCTTTGTCACAATAGCCCCAGGTGATTCCTATGCACTTTAAAGTTTCAGCAGTGTCATGCATGATTAGAGACTTCAAAAAGACCACAGGAAGCTTTCTCCAGACAAGATTTTAATATCCACTGTTAGAGTCCAATCTGAGTAAGAACTAGAGCACAAAGGAAAGTAGACAGGTATTTGAATAGATGACTTTTCTGTTGGAGATTTTCACCAAAGGAGACAAATGTGAAATCACCATTTTCATTTCACATGATGTAAACTGCCATCAGCTCTACTGACCATATTTTAGAATTCTAATTTGCATATTGAATATTTATATGTATTTAAAGTTTTTGTATATATTTACATATTTGCAAACTGATAAGAGAAAATTAGCTTTCTTAGAAAGCAAACATCTCAAAATATTTATGCAAGCCATGTTGTTAAGCAGAATATTAAAATTTAGAAGACTGAAATTATCATAAATGAGAATGTACTTATCAAATGCACTATGTACATAACATATAAAATACATATGTAACAAACATATAAAATAATATGTGTTGACTTGTTTCCCATTGGATTTGATTCAAGAAGGGTCTCACAGGAGGAAGACTGTGTTACTAGCACTTGATTAGCCTTTAGTCTTCCTGCCCTTGCTCCATCATGCCTTTTCTGGAGAGCACCCCCCTCTCCTCAGGTGCCCACCATTCTGGTGTCATCTACTTGTTGAGTTACCCAATACAGTTTATTGAAGAAACAGCCACCTGTGATGGTGAAAGAAGCACACATTCCCAGCAAGATGCTTTTTCTTCTAATATCGAGTACAATTCCTAGGCCAGAAATTTGAGTAAACAAAAAGTTATATCATTTTTTTCTTCCAAAGTTTTAGAAACGTCCCAATTTTTCAGTTTATGCCTCAATTTCTGCCTGGTAGCAAATAATTGAATCTAGTGGAAGAGCTTTTAAAGTTGTTCTATTTTAATTCCACATTTAGGAATTCTTCATTTTTTTTTCCTCCAAATGACATCTTGATGCTGCGGAGTCTTATTATGGCCTCACGGAATGCATCTGGTGCACGGTTATCTTGTGGTTTCCTCATCCGCAATGTTAAATGCTGCCTTCTGATCCGTACTTGGCGGCACCTCGCCCATCTGCAGTCCCTGAAGTGGCTAGTCCTTCCCCGCGCTGAGATGGGAGTGTCCTCAGATGAATTTCACCTCACATAGTCTTTGCCGTTATCTGTATCCTCTCACCTGAGCGCATTTTGGCGTCAACATTTTCCCTCAAGTAATTGCCACGTCCTTCTCAGCAGCAGGGTTGCCCACCCACATTATCCTAAGGGTCAAGGAAATTTGAGTAACCCTTTAGGCACTACCTTCTTTAATGAGCTTTGCTGCTTTAAGACATAATTATCTGGAAAGAGATATAATTATCTCTGATTTCACGAAAGATATCTGTCAGTTCTATTATCCAGCCCTAAATGTGACAGGTGGTGTGGCAGAAACAGGTCTCTCCAAGCGACCAGACCATCACCCTTACTCATCTCTACCAAGCAACACTTCTATTCTCCTAATTAACCAGGGAGGAGAGAGGGGGCCAGGTTCTTCATCTACTCCCTTTCTGCTGTTTATCGAATTAAAAAAAAAACCTTAAACCTTGATTCCTTCGAGGACATAGCATTTTGAAATATTGAAATTATTTTTCACTTTCAAATTTATAATAAATATAAATGTTTCATTTCTTGATTTTAAAAAATTCCCACCGATTGGCACAAGCAAAACAAAAATCTAACTTGATGACATTTTGAACATAAAAAGACATATTATTATATGTGAAAAAAAAAACAAGTAGCAAAATTAATTACTTTGAAAAGAATTTCAAGCAGAAATAATTAAAATAAACCTACTGGGAGATAATTTACACAATTATAGTTATAAAGCTTAACAAAAACAATGATGGGGCTTCAAAATGGTGGAAAGAAAAACTAATACAATTACAGTCAAAAACTGAAATTGTACTGTTGAAGATGAGAACCCAATGAATATGCGTCTCCCTCAGGATTTACCATATAGACTAAAATGTGCAACAGCAGACGATTAGAGAAACACATTCAAGAAAATTTATGAAAATAAAACTCGGAGCAATGATAACTTAGCCATAAATTTTGCTAAAAAGTCAAATCAGCTATCAACTTTATCAGATCCAACACATTCTCCCATTTTAGCCAATATTTCATAACGTGTGTTTGGACATTGAAATTGAAACCGAATTCATTAATAATAAACTATCTATACAATCCTAAAATAATTTATAGTACCCTCATCATAATATAAGGGTCTTACAGAAAATATTTTATGGAAAAAGTGTATTTTAAAACTAAAATGATTTTTCTTTTTTTTGAAAGACAGAGTCTCGCTCTGTCGCCCAGGCTGGAGTGCAGTGGTGCGATCTCAGTTCACTGCAATCTTTGTCTCCTTGGTTCAAGCAATTCTCCTGCCTCAGCTTCCCAAGTAGCTGGGATTACAGACATGCACCACCATGCCCAGCTAATTTTTGTGTTTTTAGTAGAGACAGGGTTTCGCCATGTTGGCCAGGCTTGTCTCCAACTCCTGGCCTCAGGTGATCCTTCCGCCTCTGCCTCCCAAAGTGCTGTGATTACAGGCGTGAGCTACCATGCCCAGCCCCCCTAAAACGTATTTTTAAAATGTATTTTAAAACTAGAAAAAAAATGTACTTTAAAACTATTTTAAAAGTGTATTTTTAAACTAGAAGGTATAATGAACAATCAGATGCTTATATCCATTTATAATGAGTAAGACTGGATTTAAGGGAAGTAAAAATACCATATGCCATTTTGTACAAAAATTAGAAAGAAATGAAGAAGCAGATGCAGATTTTAAACCAGATGCTAGAATAAAGATTAGTTTAAGATTAAGGAAGAATAAGCATTCATTTCTGTGCATGACAAGAAAAGCGGTAAATAACCATAAATTAAATAGAGATAATAAGCCAAAACAATCTATATTTTACAAATTACAACTAACATTTAAAGAAGAGAAAGGGAGATATTCTAGCAAATTAACCAGCCCTTATTTAAAGCATAATATCAAAATACATTTCTCCATCATAGAATGGGATTATGTAGGAACTAAATATTATAGAAAATATATTTTGTATCTAATGACCTATACATATAGACAGATACATTTAATGTTACAGATTATATTTTTAAATAGATGATAAGGAAGTGGAGTGATAGTATACACTTTAACAGTAAACCTTGGTGGACAATATCAGAGTATCCTGAAGAACAATAAGTAACTCCAAAATAAATAAACACATTTAATATTCAATTTTCAAAACACATTTTTTTCATTCAGCTTCAACAAATTTAAAAATGTGTGGATTGGAAATAACATGATTTTGATTAAAGTTATTAATAAAATTAATATAATCCCTTTATTAATGTGATGTTACTATAATGATATTATGGGGAAATATCTTACAAGGACTTTCAAGTTGATTTTGTTGTCTCTGCATTTACTGCATAACTGCACTGAAACCTTTTTCAACCAAACATGTAATTGGGAAATGCCACATTAAGTAATTTCCTTGTACAGAATTTTAAACTATGTTAACTCGGCTTCTTTCATTTTGAAGAACTGTTCCTAGATGCATATATATTTAGAATTATTTATCTTCTTGACAGAGTTTCTTATGCCTGAAATTTGCATGGTATATATTTTTCAATCATTTAACTTTCAACTTATGTCCTTAGAGTTTAAAGATCTCTCTTTTAAATAGCATTACTTGAGACATGCTTTTCTTTTCTTTTTTTGCAGCCCAGATTGATAATCAGCCTTTTAATTGGAGTATTTAGTTCAGTTTTATTTAATAAAATTACGTTGTGGTTTAATTTAACTCTACCATCTTACAGTTTGTTTTCAACTTGTTCCATATTTTGTGCGTTTTCTCCTCTTTTCCTGCCTTGTTCTGGTTAATCAAGTGCTTTATTCTTTCAGTATTCCTTTTTATATACTCTTTTCTTTTTGTTAGCTATACGGCAATTTTTTTTAAAGCAAGTACACTAGGGATTCCAATACAAATCCTTAAATTCTTAAATTATCACAATCTGCCTTAATAGTATATTACTCTATGTATTATGCTAAAGCCTTACAATATTATACTTCCATTTACACCCCCCTCATACTTTGTGCTACTATTTTTATATGCTTTACTTCCAAAGATTTTATAACCCCATAATACATGTTTATAATTTTTGCTTAAAAATGTCAGTTGCACCTTCTGCTAAAGAGTGCTTATATGAAAGGAAGTAAACAAATTAAAATGATTTAATTTCTAACTAAAAAGTAATAGAAAAACAATATATCAGAATCTATGTAGCGTATTAAAAACATTGATCAGAAGAAATTCAATACTACTATACACTTTCATAAGCAAAAATTACAGGATGAATATAAATGAATTTAGTGCTCAACCTAAAAACTTAAAACACGAACAACAAAGTAAACCAAAAGAAAGCAAAAGAAAAGAAATAATAAAAGAATAAATAAAATGATAGAAAATAAAAAACTAGAAGACATAATGAATAAATAGAAAACCCTGGTTTGCAAACAATATTATAAAATATACAAACTACTAACTACTTGCTTAAGTTCTTAAATAATAAAGCACAAAAACAAAAAATAAGCAATAGGTAAGGGGATAAAAGGAAACATTTTTGAAACCTTAAGAAGCTTTTTTGAAGACCTTTTTGCACATTTGAACACTACGATGAAATGGACAATTTCCTGGTGAAATATAGACTAGGACAATTAATGCCATTAGAGAAAAAAGAACATAAAACAACTACACTTTCTATTAATTACATCAAAAAATTTACTAAGGAACTACAGGTGATTTTCTAGAATTTCTATCACATCTCCAAAGACCAAGTAATCTTGATATTTTAAAACATGGTATGATAAACTATTGCCTATCATCGTTTTTGTAAATAAAGGTTTATTGGAAGAAGCCAAGCACACTTATCTAAATGTTCCTTGTGGCTGAATTCATTTCTTGATAAAATGACAGATTTGAGTAGTTGCAAAACAGAGAGAGAATTTCTAACAAAATATAATAACACACACAGAAATATGCAGATCTATATAGTAACTTGAATACTGGCTTTTAGAAGTTATGTTCATGAGCTAACCCCTAGGACCTGTGAATATCATTTAAAAATTGAGGTTTAGCAGATGGAAGTAAGCTAAGGATGGGTCCTAACTCCAACAACATGTATCAGTAGAAAAGACATAGAAACACACAGAAGAAAAAGCCATGTCAACATGGAGACAATCGTGTAAGGACAGATGAAAGCCAAGGAATGCCAAGGATCCCACCAGAGGCACAGAATGGATTGGCCCTTTGAGTCTCCAGAAGGAACCAATCTTGCTCACAACTTGATTTTATGCTTCTGGCCTCCAGAAATGTAAGCAAATAAATTTCAATTGTTTTAAGCCACCCAGTTTGTGGTAATTTATTATGGCAGCCCAGGAAACCTATACAATGTTTGGTACTGGACCTGGAGCTGCTGTAACAAGTTCCCAAAAATGTAGATGTAGCTTTGAAATTGGGAAATGGGTAGAAATGGGAAGAAATGAGGTGCATGATAGAAAAAGCCTAGGTTGCCTTGAACATATGGTTAGCAGAGATATGAATGTTAAAGGTGATTATAGTGAGGGCTCAAAAGGAAGTGATAAACACAATGAAGCAAGCTTTGGTTTCCTTAGATGATGCATATACTGCCATGAACATAATGCTGGTAGAGATAGAAACATTAAAGCTGCTTCTGACAAGGCCTCAGAAGGAAATGAGCATCATATTACCAGAACTGAAGGAAAGGTAAGCCTTGCTATAAAAAGAAACTTGAGTGGAAAACAGAACTTGTCAGTGATGAACTTAATATTTAGCTGTGGAGATTTCTAAGCAAAATGTTGGTGGTGCAGCCTGGTTTCTCCTTCATGCTTATGATAAAATATGAGAAGGCAGAGAAAGATTGAAGAAGAATATGTTTTACACAAAGAGGAATCAAAACTTCATGATTTTAGAAATTCTCAGCCTATATACTTTGCAAAGGATGCCAAAATTAGGACATTCATGGTTCAGAAAGCGAGCTCTGGAGAGAAGTTCAAGGGTGAGGCTGGAACAACTTTTGCTGAAGAGGTTAGATGTGGGAGTCTAACTGATTATCTATGTGGGAAATAAACTGATTATCTCAGCAGAAGCCAGGAATAGGGATGGGTTATCCAGAAAGTTGTGTCTGGGAAAGGTCTTTTCTAATGGTATGAATCCCTTTGATATACACAGGACACTCACAAGGGTTTTGACAATGCTATATTACTGAAAACAATGCCAGCCTTGAGTGAAAGGGACAGAGATGGGATAAAATAAAAGAAGGCTGTTGCACTTCTGGGAGTCTACAGGCAGACTTGATAGAGCTACTGGGGAGCAAACATGTACTACCTGTCAAGAAAAAGAAAATATGGCTCTGAGGGTAGAGCTGCGAATAAGAGAGAGAGGCCAGAAAGGGGAACTCAGAGGCAGGGATCCTCCTTGGCCCAGAGAGCAGAGCACTGAGCCACAGAAAATTATTTGCAGGCCTTCAGTTATAGGGAGATATGCATGCAAAGTTTCAAACCTGCTTGAGACTAATGACTATCCCTTGGGACTAGGCAATATCTATCCTGTGCCTGTTACACTCTTTTATTCTGGAGCCAGATAACTTGTTTTCTAGTTTCAGGGGGCCACAGATGGAGTGGAATTTGGCCCCAGATGGGTCATACATAGAACCTTACCAATACCTGATTAAGGTGACTTGGAAAAAGGAATTTCGGACTTTTTGAGCTGATGATAGTTAAATGAGACATCTGACTTAGAGTTAGTGCTTAAAGTGTTGAGACATTTATTGATGCTGAGATGGGGTGCATGAATTTTGTACTTGGTATAGAAGTTATTTTTGAGGGGCTAAATTATATACTGTAGTATGTTGCATAGTGGTTCCAAAAAGATATGCCCAAGTCCTAACCACTGGTACTTATTATTGTAACCTCACTTGGAAATAGCATTATCAGATGTAACTAATTTAAGGACCTTAAAATGAAATCATCTTACATTTAAGATGGGCCCTAAATCCTATGACGTATATTATTACAAGAGACAGATTGAAACACAGAGAGTAAAATACCATGTGAAGATGGTGGTAGAGATTGGAGGGCAGCCAAAATCTAAGACACAGCTAAAATTGACAGATGCTGGGAGGAAGGCATGGAATACATTCTCCCTCAGAGCCTCCGGAAGGAACTAAGTCCGCCAATACCTTGATTTTTTACTGCTGGCCTCCAGAACTGTGAGATAATAAGTTCCTGTTGTTTTAAGCCACCAAGTTTATAATAACTTGTTATCTTAGCACAGGTAAACAATTATAATATACATAAAGATGTATAGATATGAAAATATGTATAATCATGTGCATGGGTGTATGTGGATATGGGAGGAGAATATAAAAAATATATTTTTGTAACATTTTATAGGCTTGAATTTTTTTCAAAATAAAAAATTCAAATAGAAAAACATGTTTCAAAGGTCACTTGACATTTAATAAAAATTATGAGGAAACTATTGCCATCTTTCAATCTAAAAAATTCCAAGTTCTTGTAGTATATGGCAATTGGTAACACATTCTCTCAACTTTTATTTATCTAGAAATACTAGTTAATCTTATTTGTTTTCATTCTCCAAGATATTTTACCTGGAGATAAAATAGTAGATTTAGAGTATTTTTTTTCAATACTTTAAGGATGTAATTTCATTGTCTCCTGGCTTCAGTCGTTTATGAAGAGAAGCCAAATAATACTGTTGTTTCTTTCTCTCCTGTATGCAATGTGTTGGGGTTTTCTTTCTGGCTTTTAAAAAGGTTTTTCTCTTCACCTTTAGTTTTCATCAGGTTGACTTGCCTAAGTGGTATTTCTTTTTTATATATCATTCTTGGAGTACAATGAGATTCTTGGACCCCAGTGATTTTCTTTCATCAGAATTGTAAAAATCATGTCTATTGTTTTTAAAGTATATTTTTCTGTTTCATTTTTTCCTCCTATTTTTGGGGCCTCCAATTGCACATATGTTAGGCTGTCTGATATTATTTCAAAGGTTACTAACTCTGCTTATTTTTTTTAGTTTTTATTTTTCTTGTGAGCTTCAAGTTGGGTACATTCAATTGATTTTCTCTTAATCTGTCTTTAAATTCACTGATCCTTTTTTCTGCACAGTTAAGCCTATCCAATTTTAAACAATGTTTTATTTTATTTTATTTTTGGAAATTATGGTTAAAGATCACAGAAGAGACCACACTTGGGGAGAAAAGAACTATTTGGTAATATGTTCTAACAGGGGGAGTAGGGGTTAAAATACTTCTTTTCTATTTTCTTTTGCAACTTCTATTTTAGAATCAAAGTTGCATGTGCAGGTTTGTTACATGAGTATATTGGGTAATGCTGGAGATTTCTGTATGATTCAACCTGTCACTTAGGTAGTGAGCATAGTACCCAGTAGTTAATTTTTCAGCCCTTGCCTCCCTCCCTCTCTCACCCCTCTACTAGACCTCAATGATTATTGTTCCCATCTTTATGTCCATATGTACCCTATGTTTAGCTCCCACTTGTGAGAACATGCAGTATTTGATTTTCTATTTTTGTGTTAGTTTGATTGGGATAATAATCTCCAGCTGTATCCATGGACATAATTTTATTCTTTTTCATGGCTTCATAGTATTCCATGGTATATATGTGCCCCATTTTCTTTATCCAATCCTCTGTTGATGGGCATTTATGTTGATTCTACATTTTTGCTATTGTAAATAGTACTTCCCCATCCAATATTTTTTATTTAATTTGTTATCTTCTTTGATTTGCATTTGATTCTTTAAAAAGTTTCCATTTTATTGATAAAATTCTGTAGCTCTTCACCTGTTTTTTCTGTATTTAAAAAACATTTTAAATAGTTATTTTAAAGTTCTTTAATATTAATTTGAACAGCTGGATACCCATGGGTCTGCTCCTATTATCTCTTTTTTCTCTTGACTATGGAGTGAATTTTTTTGTTTCTATGTGTTTTAATTTTGTATTTTATTCCAGGTACTGTTTTTTAAAAGGATAGTGAAGAATGTAATATATTTTATAATGTTTATTCATTGCTTTCCTGGACAGTGCAAGTCTTCTCCTGTAACTGGAAGTTACAATGAAGGGCTGATCATTTCGATTCCTCCAAGGCTAATTTGAGCTGAGAATGGGACATATACTTATTTAGATTGAGTTCACTTCAGGTTAACAATATCTTTAAATTCTATGCCACCATCAGCAAAGGACTAAGCTTTTGACTTTGTATGATTTGAGTTGAGAAGGAGTTATTCCAGTTTCAGAAAGTTGAATTGAAACTTTGGATTCAATTCTGCAAGAACCTCGGAATCCAAACACATTGAGAATGCATGGCATTACATAAATTTTCTTTTATTTACACTTCTTCTCTACTTCTGCTTTCTTGGTTACAGTCTGATGAAAAAGCGACGGAGAATTGTGGGGTTTAGCAACATCTTTTTCCATTTGGAAATTTCAGATACCAACCCATTCTATTAGCTCATAATATCACCCAAAGCTTGACTTGTTTCTCCTCAGTGTTGCAAAGTTTTCAGTCTCCCAGTCTGTGAGCGGCCCACACTTCTGCTTTCTCAAGGTATGAAAGTTGCCATGGCCCACTAGTCACTCTTGAAGTGAGTGTCATGGGGGTACTCTTGAAGGATATGTATTAATCTGAATTTAATCAACAAGACTTTTTTGTACCTATTGCTCTTCAAAAGCCTTATAGAAAAATATGATTTTATTTTATCCATTAACTTTATTTTGCTTTTTTAGTGGAAGTGAAGGTTATTCATATATTTTATACTCTATCTAGAAGCAGACGTCTTATCCTTGATTTTTAATTAATCCTATAAAGTATTATTAATATTATGAAAATAACTTTATATCTTTAAAAATTTTCTTTAGAGACATACATTACTTCTATGTAGATCACATGTTATAATTCTTTGTCATCATTGCTGCAGTTTATTCAAAGGTTTGATGTTAAGTCAATTGATAACAGATATTATTATTCATAATTTTACAAGATTTTTATTAAAATTGTTAATAGATAACTGTTGTCAGTAGTGATAAAATAAATAGCTTAAATACTTGATGAGATCTCTAAAAGTGCTATGAATCCATACTGTGGACCAATCCTAACTATTTTTTCTCTATTACAGGAGCAATGCCATTAACTGAAAAAAATTTTTTTCTACAAAATAATTTTTAAGGATATGCATACTGGTAATCCCTGTATCCATCACTGGTAATTATAATAAGATGGCATTTCTTCCATGACTGTTTTACTCCTTAAGCAACTTACATATATTAGTAGTTAAACTTCATTTGTCGCACAGAATGATTTTATTGACTTGTAATAAAAATTTGTCGGACTGTAGTCTGTCATGTGGCTTTTTTTTGAAACTTATTAACATCTCATTGATTTTTGGATTGTTTGTAACACAAAGAATAAATGTTTAAGGGGATGGATGCCCCATTCTCCATGGTGTGATTATTGCACATTATATGCCTGTATCCAGACATCTTATGTACACATAAATATATGCACCTACTATGTATTCATAAAAACTAAACATTAAAAAAAATTAAAACAGTATCTTTGCTCGATTGGACAGAAGATATTATTTGAATTTTTATTATCACATTAATAACTTCTATCACACTTCATAAGATTAGTTTCCTCCAATATGCCATGACTTATGAGCGTTACTACCTTTTATGTTATTTTTACATAAAATTGATGCTTTTTTCCTTCTAGTTAGAAGGCTTTTAAACATTCCAAATATTCTATGGTTTGTCTCTTCATGTCAGAACTAAGATATACCTTTCCCATATTTATCAACACGTTAGCAAAATATTTACTTAATCTTGACAACTGTTTTGATTCATTGAAAAAATGATTTAGAAGAGTACAAACTGTGCAAAATGATATAAAAATAATTTTAATTATTCAACTGAATGTAAATGTTTAAACTTTACTATAAAGAAAGGTTTTCAAAAAATATCTACACATATATACAGAATAATCTCAAAATATTGAACACCAATACAGATGTGTTGAGTCAGTGGCACAAATACTAATGGTTATTGACATATTTTCCCAAAATAGCAAATTATTGAAAGTGTTCCAAGCAAAAATATATTTCCCCAGTACAGCCAGGAGTTGTATATCTGGACAATTCGGTGTATAATAAATGATTCAAAATAAAATTTACTGATAACTAAAATGGACAGATAGTCTGGGATTAGGTAATTGTAGACAGTTTTTGGCCTATATGAATATTCCAGGAGACATTTAATTGTCATGTGGGATGCATGACAATTCATAAGCAAGACTTTCTCCAGTGTCATGGGGGCACTTAGAAGCCACATCCATACCCACTAAATGCGCTGGCCCCTTTCAGTCACTGGGACGTGAAAGAGTCAAGTGATTTTTCAAATTTTATTCTAGGGATAATATGACCACTTGGAGGATCAATCATTTCATAAAAACAAAAATCACAGAAGTAAAATATTTCAATGTGAAAAAAAACTAGAAAGTATTAACTAAGGGACTTACTGTTAGGTATGTTCTAGGACTAATATGATATTGAGGGAAACCAGTTCACTTTTCTCAGCTATGCTTCTACTACAGATAGGTGGAACATCTACAAATATGTAATACTAAAAAATTCATATCCAAGCTCAAAACTAGGAAAGGTTGTCCTTATATCCTAAAAATGAAGGTGGAACTTAAATCTAGAAAAATAATCTAGAAAAATAAGCTTTAGCTTCCTATGCAGGAAAACTCGCACCAACACATACACAGTGACACACAGAGGCACACACAGGCAGACACACACAGTCATACATACAGACACACATGCAGACACACCCACAAGCACACACAGACATACACACAAACACACACACAGACACACTGGCATGCACAGGCACACACAGACATACACACAAACACACACACAGACACACTGGCATGCACAGGCACACACACACACAGGCATACACACTGACATACACAGGCACACACAGGCATACACACACACACACAGGCACACAGGCATACACACAGACACACACAGGAATACACAGGCACACACAGGCATACACACAGACACAGACACACACTCACACAGGCATACACACACACACAGGTACACACACAGACACACACAGGCATACACACAGACACACATACAGGCACAGACAGGAACACACAGACACATACATAGCAGGACACATGCATACACACGAGAATGCTTGGGCACACACACAGTCGTTGTTATGGGTGGAAAGGAGGACAATGGATATTTATTAGAAAAGAAGATTTATTAGAAAAGAAGATGGATGGAGAAGTAGGTAGTATATTTAAATTGATAATTTATAATGGGAAAATAGATGCCCAAAATTGAAGACAATTGTATAATACAAAATCTTGAGTAGAATCAGAAACAAGCTTTATTTGTTATGGACACAGTATAGTGAATTTTCTTAGCATCAAATGCCACAGAATTTTCAATACCATCAGAGAGAAAATAAATATTCCCAAAATCATAAGATAATATATTACATCAGACTCTCATTAGCAATGAGAGATGCCAGTAGACAGTGTATTTTATGTGTTGAAATTGGTGGAGGAGAATAATGATAAAACTAAAATTCTATATCCATATGAATCAGATTCATGACAAAAGGTGAAATAAAGGTACTTTAGAGAGAGGCTGAATTTACTTTACACAGATCATTAATTTGGAAAAAATCATAAGTACAAATATTATTCAAGAAACTTGAAATGGATCTCTTCAAATTGGGAAGAAATAAGATGCAAGAAGCAAAGCAAGCATGAGAATGATTTTAGATTTAAGGACAAGATCAGGAGTTACTAAAAGATTTTAATTCTTTTTTTTTTTAAGAGTTGAAAGTGTTACTAAAATCCTTCTTATTAGCCACACAGAGCTGATTTTCCCAAGTATATAACGAGTTCTTCAAATATATACTTTCAAGTCTGATTTTTTTCAGGGCTGTGTTCTTCAGTTATAATTTTTGCCTTTTGCTCCATTTCTTTAGTGTGTCCTTCCACATGTACGTTAGGTCAGCACAGGTGTCTTGTACAGCTACCACTTTCTATCAAATCTTGATTGCTTGTGTTTTAATCTCTATTTTATTTCTCTTTTGGCACTATCCCTGGTGTTAATTCACTCTTGTGTTCCTTCTACTTTATTTTTTTAAAAAATTTTTATTTATTTCATTAGCAACATTTACTTAGTTCTGTCAGCTCTTTTTTTCAAATTCCCCCTTTCTGTATTCCTCTTACTTGTATTTGTGACTCCATTGCTGCTTTCAGAAAATGTATTGCTTTCATAAAATTCATTGCTTTCTGAATTTATTTTACCTCATTTTGAACTATTAGATTACAGATTGTATCTCCTCTGAGGCCATGTCTTTCTGGTATGGTATCATTTTGTAGGACTGTCATTACTCTGTTTACTCTTCATACCGTTTTTATAAAATCTTTATGGAATCTGACTGTAATATTTTCTATTGTCCATGTTTCAGTGATGTGGGTTTTTCTCTGTTCTTAGAGGGAGACTGGAACTTGATAACCTTCTAGACTCATCACTCTAGAACTCTCAAGTTCTGAACTCCCACCTATTGTTATAATTGTTTTCAAAAATATGGCTACAAACTCAGATATTCAAACTCAGCTCCCTCTCCACCCTTTGTCTGAATCTTTTCTCTCTTTTGCTTTTCAGTGTTCCTGTCCTTCTTACCGTGGATTCTACTCACAGAAACTTCCCCTCTGTGTGGGGCTTTTCCTTGGAGGGTTCTTTGGCTGATGAATTTAGAGAAGTCCTGGGACTCAGACTGCCCCAGCACTGATTGTTTCTACAGCATCCTTCACGCACCTGCAAATGCAGCCTGCACCATTCATGGCCAGTTCTGTTGTCCTCTGCTATCCCTCTCTTTCACTAGTAGAAATTTGTGTGTGGATGAATGTTATGTTCTCTGGTTTACAAGGACATTCGAAATTGCTTTACTTTCCCTCCCCATCTTTATTCACAGTTGTTGAAATGATCCTGGTGTGGTCTGAGGTTTGTGTCAACCCTCATGTGTTTTGAGAAAGGTAGGGCTACCCGGTCACCACGTATTATTGTAGATATTGTCTATAGGCCACTGGCTCTGATGTCCTGTAGATAGTGAAGATGGTTTTCCTAATATAATGTGTGTGTGGGGGGGGCAGGGGGTGGATCAGGAATGATTTTAAAACTACGCTGTTGCTGCTGCTGCCTTGTCCATCACCTCACCTATTCATTTTTTACTAATTTTTTACGGATGTTTTCCTTGCCTTTATTTCCTTAAGGATTATTAAACTCATTTGTTTAGGGTACTTTTTGGGGTTTTGTGTCATTATTTCTAGTGTGATTTCTCCTGGTTTGGTTTTGTTTATAAATATAAATATATGTATATACATACAATGATAGATAAAATTTTAACATGTATATGTAACACATGTATGATTTTTATATATATAAAATTTTGTTTAAAAAGTTTAGCTTGAAGTGTGAGTTTCATTTTTTTCTTTTGCTCATCCCTTCATTTCTGCAGGTTTTGCTGTTACCTCTACCCAAATTCTCAAGCTCCTGGATGAGGTTCCAGATGTTATGATGGCATCAGAGAGCTCTCATCAGCTTGGGTTGGCCTGGTTTCCAATTTGGGGGCTGTCCATCTGATTTCTTTCTTACCACTGCCTTTCAGGGTAGCTGCTTCTCATGACAGGCTGTGCCGAACTGCAGCCATGGTCATGTTCAACCCTCATTGAAAGGCAAGAGGATCTCCTCCAGCCTCCTCTTGTACACAGCATCCAGGTCTGGCACTTCTCCTCTTTTTTTTTGTAAATTATTCTCTCCCAAGAGCTGAGCTTTCATTTAATTCTCGTGTCAGTCCCACTGTCCCAGAGGCCTATTGTTACAGCCCCAGCCTTCTGCTAGGAACATCTGGTCATTTTTTTCTTCATAAGGTACATCAAGTTTTTGAACACAGCTATATCTCATAGATAATTTATTGCTTATTAAGGAGTGAGGGTGAATGATAGGAATGGTCCGGGGACATTCTTTCTGAGTGAAATCACTGAGCCGTTTTTGTAAGGAAAAATATTTGGTGCTTTTTATAATTTTGTCACATCATTTTAGTTAAAAGTAAATATATTTTATTATACTATTTAGCAATCATTCACAGGATACCCAAAGATGAAAGGGAACAATAAATAATATTATGTGGGACCATGGGTGGCATCAAAGAACAAAAATCTTTTTTTTCTCAGACTTCTCAGGAATGAAGAAAAATCTCAATATGCAGAGTAGAGATATTCAGAAATATCTTAAAAATATACCAAAGCTAGGCCAGGCGTGGTAGCTCATGCCTCTAATCCCAGCACTTTGGGAGGCCGAGGCGGGCAGGTCATGAGGTCAAGAGTTCAAGACCAGCCTGACCAACATGGTGAAACCCAGTTCTCTACTAAAAATACAAAAAATTAGCTGGGTGTGGTGGTGGGTGCCTGTAATCCCAGCTACTCAAGAGGCTGAGAAAGGAGAATTGTTTGAACCAGGGAGGCGGAGGTTGCAGTGAGCCAAGATCGTGCCTCTGCACTCCAACCTGGGCAACAGAGTGAGATTCCGTCTCAAAAAAAAGATATATATATATATATATATATATATATATATATATATATATATATACACACACACGCATATATACATACATATCATATATATACATAGATATGCTATATGTATACACATATATATCATAGATACACATAGATATCCTATATATATATCCTATATATATATCTTATATATCTATGTGTATCTATGATATATATGTGTGTGTGTATATATATATGTATATATGATATATATATACACCAAAGCTTCCCAAGTACAAATGGACACCTAATATCCAGATACAAACTTTTCAGGCAAAAATCTATGGGGCAGTATCTGGATGAAATGCTTTGCCTCGAAGGACAATTCAAAGGTCTTTTCTTTTTAATCAAAGAAGTAAATAGGTATTTTCCCATTGAACAAAAGTAGTATTTACTACATCAAAAAAACCTCAAGTCCTTGATGGCTTTATATATTAAATGCAATTTAATTAGAATGGAGTTGCGCGAAGTAAGGTGGCCTGTTTCGCCTGGTAAAACTTAGGTCAGTTTGTATTCCTTGATGAAACTTAACAACAAACCAACACTTCTGAAAAAGATTTCCATTGAGGTAAACTTAACAGAAGGCCACCGAGCCAGGGTAGCAATTACCAAGAGGCTCTTCTGGTCAGCAGGAGAGGGGCCAAACCACGCAAGCTCTTCAGCCCAAGCACTCACACTTCTGCACTGAGGATCCCTAAGCTGCTGCTATGCAGCCGGTTCAGCCACTGTGCAACATTATCTAGTTTTTTATGTATTGTTGAAATGATCCGAGAAAACATTTACCCAACAGTAATTGTGATTGTCTATGTTCAAGTCAGTTTGCATTATATAATTCTAAAGAGATATCCATCTTGGTCAATTTAAATTTTTCATCTTAAATCACCTCCCCCAAAATTTAACAGTGCAATTATTAACAGTGCAATTGTTACCAGCGGTTCTAAGTCTTTACTTTTTCTTTACCAGCACTAACAAATTTGGTGGCTAGGACCCACATATATCAGTATAAAGTGGCGCAAGGTAGCAATGATTCACAAAGATGGATACTTTTTTTCTCCCATTATGAATTACTGATACACAACATACTGAGAGGAAAATGGTCCACAGAATATTGTTAAAAACATGTTACACATTTTATATGGAGATGCATATGTTTCTGAAAATACATTAAATTTATATACTTTAAACATTTTCTTACCCATTCCAAATATGTGAATCTATATATTTATACACAGTCCAGCATTTTTAAGTACTTAAAATGACAATCAATGGAGAGGTATTCCCATAGTGAATTATAATGTGTTCACAGAACTAAATTTTTATAATTAGATTATGAGATACTTTACAAAGATTGCCTAAAAGATTTAAAAGAAGGCTACTTAGGATTCATTTTGAAGCTACAGAACTTCGTTCCACTGCACATCTCCATTAATATTTAAGACATGTAAATTAGACATTTATTTACTTTCTTGTCTATACTGATGTACAATTTTTTTTTTGAGGTGGAGTCTTGCTCTGTTGCCCAGGCTGGAGTGCAGTGGCACAATCTTGGCTCACTGCTACCTCCATCTCCCTGGTTCAAGCGATTCTCCTGTCTTAGCCTCCTGAGTAGCTGGGTTTACAGGCACGCACCACCACACCCAGCTAATTTTTGTATTTTTAGTAGAGATGGGATTTCACTATCTTGGCCAGGCTGTTCTTGAACTCCTGACCTCGTGATCCACCCACTTCAGCCTCCCAAAGTGCTGGGATTACAGGCGGGAGGCACTGGGTCCATCCTATACTGATATAGTTTAATTACAATTTCATGACTGTAAATTTGACTTGCCTTGCAAAACTCCTATGTGCACAGGTACGGCAAAGTTGATAGGAAGCATTCAGGTGGTGAGTAACGATAACCCAGTAGATATTCAAAATAATTGGTGGAACAACATTAAGGACCAATGAATGTATCTGAGATCAAGGAGCAAATTATTTTTTAACGTTACTTGTTAAAGAATAATGTTATCTGTGTTTAAAGTACACCAAAATGACATAGTTTCATTAGAGACATTATGAGATAATTGAAACTTAAGAGGGTGGTATCATTTTTTGAGAAAAAACATGTACTAAAATACAATGCTTCTTTTTTTACATGGAGCTTTGCCTGTCAGTCTTCAAAAATTGAAAAATTATATTGGTCTATTTTAATCAGAAATGTTACAAACAATAATTATAGCTCAAATTTGAGAAATTCTTCCCTTCGATGGAACATTGTGAGAGAAAAAAATATTTACTGCATAGAATGCTTTAAGGATAAATTTTAATGACATATTTATTTAATTCCTACTGTACATTTAAAGATTACCTTGGCTATATCAGCTTCCCTCAGTCTATCAGAAGATAAATTATTCAAATGGAGCATATTTATATATTTTAAAGATTCTGTGAACACTTGTACATCCGGTAATGTTATACTGGGTAAATCAGAAAAACCCCTCCCCTGAGGATAAATAGTAAACTTGAGAAAATAAAAATAAAATGTTTGCAGAAGCATCAAAGGCATCAGGCAGCTCACTAATTAGTGAGCAATTATTTAATCCAGATGCAAGAGAAAGCAAAAACTCAGATTAAAAACCAAGCGACTGAAAACACTGTGTCTCCACGGGGACACCTCAGAGGTTGTGTAGTGTCTCTCTCAGCATGATGTGCTAGAGATATACAGGTTGAATTCCAGGGGCTGCCAGTGGGAGGAGATGGGTTTGTATGTTTTGAAGGAAAATGCCAAAAGTTTAAGCAGTATGATTTGGAAGAACTGAAAATAAAACCACCACTCACCTATACTATATCTCAGTTTAAAGTCATCTGACAGAAAAAGAGAAAAATTACAGATTAAGATAATAGATTTAAAATAAAGTATCAAAATGTTTACATTGAATGTAAAGTGAACTCCAAATTCTAATGAAAAGACAATATTGTCAGACTGAATTATAAAGCGAAACAAAACAAACTACTGTATTGCAATAAAACATGTCTAAATCACAAGGATGCAGGAGGCTTAAAAGTCAAAGGATGATAAAAGGTATATATCATTTAAGCTTTACCCACAAGTACCTATAATCATTTGAGAAAAAAAGACATATTTAACAGAAGGTATAACAGAGATTTAAAATGAAAAAAATATATTCGTCAGAATGGATTTACCAGAAACATTTTGCAATTCTAAATAAGTATGTACCCAAACACATGGCATCAAAATATAGAAAGCTCAGAATTGACCAAATATCAGCAGGTAAAGACAAATCCACAAGGTCTTTTTTTTTTTTTTTTTTTTTTTTGAGGCACTGTCTCACTCTGTCGCCCAGGCTGGAGTGCAGTGGTGCAATCTCGGCTCACTGCAATCTCTGCCTCACGGGTTCATGCCATTGTCCTGCCTCAGCCTCCCGAGTAGCCGGGACTACAGGCGTGTGCCACCATGCCTGGCTAATTCTTGTATTTTTAATAGAAATGGTGCTTCACCATGTTAGCCAGGATGGTCTCGATCTCCTGACCTTGTGATCCACCCGCCTTGGCCTCCTGAAGTGGTGGGATAACAAGAGTGAGCCACCACGCCCAGCCCAAGTAACTCATTAAAAAAGTAATCACAAATATTGCTGAAATATGTAATATTTAAGCAATTTAGCAAAATTCAATCTCATTAACTTATATAAAGTGCTGAGCTTACAAATGTGAATACACTTCCTGTTCAATCATGTGAAATTTTTGAAATATATTTAGTCATAAACAAGTCTTAAAACATTGAAAAGATTGAAACTATAAACAGTACTTTCTTTGGCCATAATTCAATTAAATTATAAATTAAAAAAATACAGGGATTTCAAAATTAAAATGTATACCTCCAAATAAGCCTTAAGTCAAAGAAAACTGAAAGGAATAAGAAAAGGGTCACACATCAAACAGTGTGGTGTGTGGACATTGTTTAGAGGGAAATTTGTAACCTTGGATGTATATATTAGAAAATAATGCAGGCTGAGAAATCTCAAGAGATTGTGGCAGGTGGCAATAACAAATTAAATCCAAAGAGCATTGAATGAGGTACAAATAGCCAATAGCTGAAATGAATAAGGGTATATCACTTCCAACCCTTCAACCATCATAAAGTAAAAAATGATAATATAAGATAATAATATGGACAAATTTATGCTTGTACCTCAATGAATTGAAATATATATGAAATATGAAAATATTTTCAAAAATGTAACTTATCAAGTCATGTGATAAGTTAGCAAATTAATTTGCTTATATTTATTTATTTGAATTAGTAACACTTTGGAGGTGTGCACACATACACACACAAGCATACACATACTCTCTAATGCTCTCTAGTTTCCACTGGCTTCTCTAAGAAATTATACCAAACATTCAAGGACAAAATATTTCCAACTCTATCAACAGTGGGTTAAATGGAAACTGCCCAATATATATTATGTTCATTACGCTTCACAAGGTTGATACAAACATTTTAAAAGTACATTAAAAAATGGAAGTTCTTTCTTATAAACATAAATTGCAAATATTCTAATGAAAATATTAGCAGAGGGGAGGCAGACCAAGATGGCAGAATAGACAGCTTCACTGATGGTTCCCACTGTGAGGACACCAAGTTAACAACTATTTATGCAGAAGAAACACCTTCATACGAACTAAAAATCAGGTGAGCACTCATAGTACCTGGCTTTAACTTCAGATCACTGAAAGAGGCACTGGAAAAATAGAAAAAACAGTCCTGAATCACCACTGCCACCCCTCACCCACCTCCCAGCCACAGTGGGGTACAGACAGTGAGTCTGGGACCTGGGGAAGGAAGAACACAGCAGTTGTGAGGCCTTGAGCTCAGTGCTGTCCTGCTGGAGAAGAAAGGAAAATCAGACTAAACTCAGCTGATGCCCACCCATGGAGGAGCATTTAAACCAGCCCTAACAAGAGGGGAATCACTGATGCCAGTGGTACAAACTTGAGTGCCCACAAACCTCACTACCAATAGCTACAGAACTCTGTGTCTCCCCAAATAAACCTGAAGGGCACTCTAGGCCATAAGGACTGCAACTCTTAGATGAGTCCTGGTGCCAAAATAGACCCAGAGACAGTGGACTGGGGAGACGTGACATAATGAGACACCAGCTGGGGCAGCCAAGGGGGTGCTGGCATTGCCCCTTCCCTACCCCCTGGCTGCACAGCTCATGGCTCCAAAAGAGACCCCTGCCCTCTGCTTGAAGAGAGAAGAGGGAAAAGTGGAGAGGACTTTATCTTGCATTGAGGATACCAGCTCAGTCACAGCAGAATAGGACACTAATAGGAGTAATGAGGCCCCCATTCCAGGTCTTAGCTCCCAGATGACATTTTTAGCCACAACCTGGGACAGAAGGGAACCGATTGCCTTGAAGAAAACAGCCCAGTCCTGAAAAGATTTATCACCTGCTAACTGAAGAACCCTTGGGCCCTGAATAACCAACAGTGATACCCAGGTACTACATTAAGGGCCTTGGGTGAGCCTCTGAGACTTGCTGGCTTCAGGTGAGACTCAGCACTTTATCAGCTGTGGTGCTTATGGGACAAAACTCCTGCTTGAGAAGAGCAGAAGAAAAAGTAAAGGGGACTTTTTATTACACCTTTAATACCAGCATAGCCACAGGGAGATAGAGTACCAAGTGGGTTCTTGGAGTCCCCATTTCCAAGACTTGACTCTTGGAAGGCATTTCTGGACTTTCCTGGGCCAGAGGGGAGCCCATTGCCCTGAAGCAGGAGTCCCAAGTGAGGCAGCATTCACCACAGGCTGACTTAATAAACCTTGGGCCTTAATGGAACATCAGCAATAGTCTGGCAGTGCTCCTCAGGGCCTACAGAGTGAGGATCCTCTGCCTTTGGAAAGCGGAGGGAAGAATGGGAAGGACTGCATCTTGTGGTTTGAGCGCTGGCTCAGCCACAATACAATAGAACACCAGGTAGACTTCTAAAGTTTTTGACTGCAGTCCCTGACTCCTGGATGGCACTTCCAGACTGATCCAGGGCCTGGGGGACCTTGCTGCAATGAAGGGAAGGGCACTGGCCTCTCTGACTTTGACACCATCTGACTGTAGAGCCTCAGGGCATTCAGTGAACATAGGTAGTAGCCAGGGAGTAGTTACATCAGGCCTTGGGTGAGACCCAGTGCTGTGCTAGCTTTAAGTCTGACCCAGTGTAGTCACATTGATGGTGGCCACAAGAGTGCTTGTGTCACTCCACCCCCAGCTTTAGATGGTTCATAACACAGAGAAAGACTGTGTATGTTTGAGAGAATGTAAGGGAAGAGAGCAAGAGTCTCTGCCTGGTAATCCAGAGAATTCTCCTGGATCTTGTTCAAGAACATCAAGGCAGTACTTCTACAAGTCTGCAAGAACCACAGCATTACTGGGCTTGGGGTGCTCCCCAAACCAGATGCAGCTTAGATCACAACACTCAAGTCCTTTCAAATATCTGGAAAACCTTCCCAAGAAGGGCAGCTACAAATAAGCCCAGACAGTGAAGACTACAATAAATACCTAACTCTTCAATGCCCAGACACTGAAGAACATCTATTAGCATCAATACCATCCAAGAAAACGTGGCCTCAACAAATGAACTAAATAAGGCACCAGGGACCAATCCTAGGAAAACAAAGACATGTGGCCTTTCATACAGAGAATTCAAAACAGCTGTGGTGAGGAAACTCAAAGAAATTCAAAACAACATGGAGAAGGAATTCAGAAGTCTATCAGATAAATCTAACAAAGAGATTAAAATAATTAAAAAGAATTAAGCAGACATTCTGGAAGTAGTGAGCTTGAAGACAGGCTATGTGGAAATACATAGTAAGAGGAGAAAAAGAAAAAGAAAAAACAATGAAGCATGCCTACAGGATCTGGAAAATCGCCTCAAAACGGCAAATCTGAAAGTTATTGACCTTAATGGGGAGGTAGAGAAAGAGATAGGGATAAAAACCTTATTCAAAGGGATAATAACAAAGAATGTTCCAAACCTAAAGAAAGGTATCAATAGCCAAGCACAGGAGGGTTCCAGAACACCAAGCAGAATTAACCCAAAGAAGATTACCTCAAGGCATTCAATAAGTCAACTCCCAAAAGTCAAGAATTAAGAAAGGATCCTAAAAGCAGCAAGAGAAAAAAAAAATAAAAGTAAGTAACATAAAATGGAGCTTCAATACATTTGGCAGCAGAATTCTCAGTGGAAACCTTACAGGCTAGGAGAAAGTGGCATGACATATGTAATGTATTGAAGGGAAAAAAAAAAAAAGCTCTTACCCTAGATAGTTTATCCAGTAAAAATATATACCCTTCAAACGTGAAGAAGAAATAGAGACTTTCCCAGACAAACAAAAGCTAGGGATTTCATCAATTCCAGACCTGTCCTACAAGAAATGCTGAAGAGTCCCTCAATCACAATGAAAAGGGTGCTAAGAAGCAACATGTAACCACCTGAAGTACAAAATTCACTGGTAGCAGTAAGTAGACGGAAAAATACAGAATATAATAACACTGTAACTGTAGTATGTTATCGGGGGAAATTCACCCCTGATATTTCACGTAGGTTCTTTTCTATTTTCCCTAAGTGTCAGCCGGTCTGAGAAATAAAGGGAAAGAGTACAAAGAGAGAAATTTTGAGGCTGGGTGTCCACGGGAGACATCACATGTGGGCAGGTCCCATGATGCCCCCTGAGCCATAAAACCAGCAAGTTTTTATTAGCAATTTTCAAAGGGGAGGGAGTGCATGAATAGGGTGTGGGTCACAGAGATCACATGCTTCAAGGGCAACAAAAGATCACAAGGCAGAAGGTCAAGGCGAAACTAGAATCACTAATGAACTTCCATATCCCACTGTGCACGCATTGTCAGGGTTCAAGAGCAGAGAACTGGTCTGACTAGAATTTGCCAGGCTGAAATTTCCTAATCCTAGCAAGCCTGGGGGTGCTGCAGGAGACTAGGGTGTGTTTCATCCCTATCTACATCTGCATAAGGCAGACACTCCCAGGGTGGCCATTTTAGAGGCCCTGCCCTGGGAATGCATTCTTTTCCCAGGGCTGTTAATTATTAATCATTCTTACTGGGGAAAGAATTCAGCGATATTTATCCTACCCATTTTCACTAATAAGAGAAATATGACTCTGTCCTGCCCGGCCCACAGGCAGCCAGACTTCAAGGTTATCTCCCTTGTTCCCTGAACATTGCTGTTATCCTGTTCTTTTTTCAAGGTGCCCAGATTTCATATTGTTTAAACAATTTGTGCAATTAACACAATCATCACAGGGTCCTGAGGTGACATTCATCCACAGCTTATGAAGATGATGGGATTAAGAGATTAAAGACAGGCATAGGAAATCACAAGAGTATTGACTGGGGAAGTGATAAATGTACATGAAATCTTCACAATTTATGTTCAGAGATTGCAGTAAAGACAGGTGTAAGAAATTATAAAAGTATTAATTTAGGGAACTAAAAAATGTCCATGAAATATTCACAATTTATGTTCTTCTGCCACGGCTTCAGCCAGTCCCTCCATTCGGGGCCCCTGACTTCCCACAATAGTCTGTAAACTACTCTTATCCTAAGTAGGAAGACTAAATGATGAATCAATCAAAAATAATAATTACAAAAACTTTTTAAGATATGGTCAGTACAACAAAATATAAATAGAAACAAAAAGTTAAAAAGTCTGGGGACAAAGTTAAGGCCTAGAGTTTTTATTAGTGTTCTTTTTGCCTGTTTGTTTATGCAAACAATTTTAAGTTGTTATCAGGTTAAAATAATGGGTTATAAGATAGTATTTGCAAGCCTCATGTTAATCTCAAACTAAAACTTATACAATGAATTCATGAAAAATAAAAAGCAAGAAACTAAATCATATCACCAGACAAAATGATATTTACTAGAGGAAGACAGGAAGGAAAGAAAGAAAGAAGAGAAGACCAGAAAACAAATAACAAAAATTTGAGAGAAGTAAGTCCTTTCTTATCAATAACAACATTGAATGTAAATAATCTAAATCCTTAAATGAAAAGACATAGACTAGCTGAATGGATGAAAAAACAAAATCCATTGATCTGCTGCCTAGAAGAAACATACTTCACCTATAAAGACACACTTAGACTGAAAATATAGGAATAGAAAAATATTTCATGCCAAGGGAAATCAAAAAGAGCAGGAGTCACTATATTTCTATCAGGCAAACAGATTTAAAGACCAAAACTATAAGAAGAGACAAAGAAGGTCACTATATAATGATAAAGGAGTCAATTCAGTAACAGAATATAACAATTTAAAATACATATGCACTCAACACTGAACCACCCACATATATAAAGCCAAAATTACAAAAGTTATTAGAGCTAAAGAGAGATATATTCCTCAATACAATGATGGCTGAAGACTTCAACATCTCACTTTCAGGATTGAACAGATCTTCCAGAGAGAAAATCAACAAAGAAACATTGACTTAATCTGCACTGTAGATTAAATGGATCTAATAGATATTTACAGAAGATTTTATCCAAAATCTGTAGAATACGCATTCTTTTCCTCAGCACATAGATTATTTTCAGGGACAGACCATGTGTTAGGTAACAAAATGTCTTAAAACACTCAAAACATTGAAATAACATAAAGCATCTTCTCTGATTATAATGGATTAAACTAGAAATTAATAACAGAGGAATTTTGGAAACTATACAAATATATGAAAATTAAACTATATGCTCCTAAATGACCAGTTAATGAAGAAATTAAAAAGAAAATCAAAAACTTTCTTAAAACAAATGAAAATGGAAACACAACATACCAAAACCTATGGGATACAGAAAAAGCAGTACTAATAGGAAAGTTTATAGCTAAAAGTGCCTGCATGAAAAAAGAGGAAAAACTTCAAATGAACAATCTAATAATGCATCTGAAAGAATGAGAAAAGCAAGAGCAAACCAAATCCAAAATTAGTAGAAGAAAAGAAATAATAAAGCTCAAAGGAGAAACAAATAAAACTGAAATTGAAAAAAATACAAAAGAAGAATAAAACAAAAAGATAGGTTTTTGAAAAGTTAAACAGAATTTTCAAACCTTTAACCAGGCTAACTACAAAACAAAAAACAAACAACAACAACAAAAGAAAACAGAGATAGAGAGAGATGATCCAAATAAATAAAATCAGAAATGAAAAAGGAGATGCTACAACTGATACTGCAGAAATTCAAAGGATCACTAGTGGCTACTATAAGCAACTACATGCCAATTAATCGGAAAATCTAGAAGAAATGAACAAATTCCTAGATATATACAATCTACCAAGGTTGAAATAGGAAGAAATTTAAAACCAGAACAGACCAAATACAAGTAACAAGATTGAAGCCATAATAAATAATAAAAATCTTTCAGTTAAAAAAAAAACCCAGGGACTGATGCCTTCACTATTGAATTCTACCAAACATTTTAAGAAGAACTAATACAAATCCTAATTAAACTATTTTTTAAAGTAGAGGAGGATGGAATACTTTCAAACTAATTACATGAGGTCAGCATTACTCTGATACCAAAGACATTGAAAAACAGTAAACCACAAGCAAATATCTCTGATAAATATTGATGCAAAAATCCTCAACAAAATACTAGCAAACCAATTCAACAATACATTAAAAAGATCATTCATCATGACAGAGTGAGATTTACCCCTAGAATGCAAGGATAGTTCAACATACACAAATCAATCAATGTGATACAGTGAATCAACAGAGTGAAGGACAAAAACCATAAGATCATTTCAATTAATGCTGGAAAAGCATTTGATAAAGCTCAACATCCCTTTATGGTAAAAACATTGAAAAACAGAATATAAAAGGAACATAGCTCAACATAATGAAAGCCATATATGATAGACCCATAGCTAGTATCATACTGAATATGGGGAAAAAAATGAAAAACCTTTCCTCTTAGATATGGAACACCACAAGGAGGCCCACTGTCATAAGTTATTCAACCTAGTACTGAAAGTCCTAGCAGGAGCAGTCAGACAACAGAAAGAAATAAAGGGTATCCAAGGCTGGGCATGGTGGCTCAGGCCTGTAATCCCAGCACTTTGGGAGGCCAAGGTTGGAAGATCACAAGGTCAAGAGATCAAGACCATCCTGGCCAACATGGTGAAACTCCATCTTTACTAAAAATACAAAAGTTAGCAGGGTGTGGTGGCACATGCCTGTAGTCCCAGCTACTCGGGAGGTTGAGGCAGAAGGATTGCTTGAACCTGGGAGGCAGAGACTGCAGTGAGCCGAGATTGCACCACTGCACTCCAGCCTGGCGATGGAGCAAGACTCCATCTCAAAAACAAAAAGAAAAGAAATAAAGGGCATCCAAATTGGAAGGAAATAAGTCAAATTATCTTTGTTTATAGATAATATTATATATTTGGAAAAACTGAAAGATGCCACCAAAAAACTATTAGAACTGATAAATTCAGTAAATTTGCAGGATACAAAATCAACAAACAAAAATCAGTAGTATTTCTAAATGTTAACAGTGAACAACGTGAAAATGAAATTTAAAAAGTAATTCCATTTACAATAGCCACACATAAAATTAAATACCTAGGAATTAACTTCACCTAAGAAGTGAAAGATCTCCACTATGAAAACTATAAAATATTGATAAAATAAATTGAAGAGGACAAAACATAAGGAAAAAAACACTTCATGTTCATAAATTGGAAGAATCAATATTTTTTAAATGTTCATACTACCCAAAGCAATCTACAGATTCAATGACGTTTTTCACAGAAATAGAAAATTTGATCCTAAAATCCATATGGAACCAAAAACACCCAGAATAGACAAATCTACCTGAAGCAAATAAAATTTTTTTAAAAGCTTAAGGAATTACATTACCTGTCTTCAACTTCTGCTACAAAGTGATAGTAACCAAAACAGCACAGTTCTGGCATAAAAGGAGACATGTAGACCAACGGAAAAGAAAAGAGAACCTAGAATCAAAGCCACATACCTACAGAGAATTCATTTTTGACAAAGTTGCCAAGAACATACACTCAGTAAAAGACAGTCACTTCAGTAAATGACAATAGGAAAACCAAATATCCATTTGCAGAGTAAAACTAGACCTCTATCTCTCAGTATGTACAAAAATCAAATCCAAATGGATTAAAGACTTAAATCTAAGATATCAAACTGTGAAACAACTACAAGAAAACATTGGGGAAAATCTCTAAGAATTTGTCTGGGCAAAAATTTCTTGAGCGATGATAGCCCACAAGCGCAGGCAACCAACGCAAAAATTGACAAATAGGATCACATCAAGTTAAAAAGCTTGTCCAGAACAAAGGATACAATCATCAAAGTGAAGACACTACCCACAGACCACAACCCACAGGAGAAAATATTTGAAAACTGCCTATCAGACCAAAGGATTCATAATCAGAATATATAAGCAGCCCAAATAACCCTACAGAAAGAAATCTAATAATCTAATTAAAACATAGGCAAAATATTCAAATAAACATTTCTCAAAAATGACATATAAATAGTAAACAGGCATATGAAAAGGTGCTCAATATCAATAATAATCAGAGAAATGCAAATTAAAATGACAATGGTATGTCATCTCCCCCTAGTTAAAATGGCTTGTATTCAAAAGACAGGCAAGAACACATGCTGGCAAGGATGTAAAGAAAATCTACATTTCTATGGAGGGTGGAGCCAAGATGGCCGAATAGGAACAGCTCCAGTCTACAGCTCCCAGCCTGAGTGACGCAGAAGACAGGAGATTTCTGCATTTCCAACTAAGGGACGGGGTTCATTTCACTGGAGAGTGTCGGAAAGTGGGTGCAGGACAGTGGGTGCAGCTCACCCAGCATGAGCTGAAGCAGCGCAAAGCATCGTCTCACCTGGGAGGCACAAGGGGTCAGGGAATTCCCTTTCTTAGTCCAAGAAAGAGGTGACAGATGGCACTGGGAAAACAGGGTCACTCACACTCTAATATTGCGCTTTTCCAACAGTCTTAGTAAACGCCACACCAGGAGATTATATCCCACGCCTGTCTAGGATGGGTCCTATGCCCACGGAGCCTCACTCATTGCTAGACAGCAGTCTGAGATCAAACTGCAAGGCAGCAGCGAGGCTGGGGGAGGGGCACCCGCCATTGCCGAGACTTGAGTAGGTAAACAAAGCTGCCAGGAAGCTCCATCTGGGTGGAGCCCACCGCAGCTCAAGGAGGCCTGCCTGCCTCTGTAGACTCCACCTCTGGGGACAGGGCATAGCCAAACAAAAGGCAGCAGAATCCTCTGCAGACTTAAATGTCCCTGTCTGACAGCTTTGAAGAGACTAGTGGTTCTCCCAGCATGCAGCTGGAGATCTGAGAACGGACAGACTGCCTCCTCAAGTGGGTCCCTGAACCCTGAATAGCCTAACTGGGAGGCACCCCCCAGTAGGGGCAGACTGACACCTCACATGGCCGGGTACTCCTCTGAGACAAAACTTCCAGAGGAACGATCTGACAGCAACATCTGCTGTTCACCAATATCCACTGTTCTGCAGCCTCTGCTGCTGATACCCAGGCAGACAGCGTCTGGAGTGGACCTCCAGCAAAATCCAACAGACCTGCAGCTGAGGGTCCTGACTGTTAGAAGGAAAACTAACAAACAGAAAGGACATACACACCAAAAACCCATCTGTACATCACCATCATCAAAGACCAAAGGTAGGTAAAAACACAAAGATGGGGAAAAAGCAGAGCAGAAAAACTGGAAACTCTAAAAATCAGAGCGCCTTTCCTCCTCCAAAGGAATGCAGCTCCTCACCAGCAATGGAACAAAGCTGGACAGAGAATGACTTTGATGAGTTGAGAGAAAAAGGATTCAGATGATCAAACTACTCCGAGCTAAAGGAGGAAGTTCCAACCCATGGCAAAGAAGTTAAAAACTTTGAAAAAAATTAGACAAATGGCTAACTAGAGAAACCAATGCAGAGAAGTCCTTAAAGGACCTGATGGAGCTGAAAACCAAGGCATAAGAACTACGTGACAAATGCACAAGCCTCAGTAGCTGATTCAATCAACTGGAAGAAAGGGTATCAGTGATGGAAGATCAAATGAATGAAATGGAGTGAGAAGTTTAGAGAAAAAAGAATAGAAAGAAACGAACAAAGCCTCCAAGAAATATGGGACTACGTGAAAACACCAAATCTATGTCCGATTGGTGTACCTGAAAGTGACAGGGAGAATCGAACCAAGTTAGAAAACACTCTGCAGGATATTATCCAGGAGAACTTCCCCAATCTAGAAAGGCAGGCCAACATTCAAATTCAGGAAATACAGAGAATGCCACAAAGATACTCCTCAAGAAGAGCAACTCCAAGACACATAATTGTCAGATTCACCAAAGTTGAAACGAAGGAAAAAATGTTAAGGGCAGCCAGAGAGAAAGGTCGGGTTACCCACAAAGGGAAGCCCATCAGACTAACAGCAGATCTCTAGGTAGAAACTCTACAAGCCAGAAGAGAGTGGGGGCCAATATTCAACATTCTTAAAGAAAAGAATTTTCAACCCAGAATTTCATATCCAGCCAAACTAAGCTTCATGAGTGAAGGAGAAATAAAATCCATTACAGACAAGCAAATGCTGAGAGATTTTGTCACCACCAGGCCTGCCCTAAAAGAGCTCCTGAAGGAAGCACTAAACATGGAAAGGAACAACCGGTACCAGCCACTGCAAAAACATGCCAAATTTTAAAGACCATCGAGGCTAGGAAGAAACTGAATCAATTAATGGGCAAAATAACCAGCTAAGATCATAATGACAGGATCAAATTCACACATAACGATATTAATCTTAAATGTAAATGGGCTAAATGTCCCAATTAAAAGACACAGACTGGCAAATTGGATGAAGAGTCAAGACCCATCAATGTGCTGTACTCAGGAAACCCATCTCACATGCGGAGACACACATAGGCTCAAAATAAAGGGATGGAGGAAGATCTACCAAGCAAATGGAAAACAAAAAAAGGTAGGGCTTGCAATCCTAGTCTCTGATAAAACAGATTTTAAACCAACAAAGATCAAAGGAGACAAAGAAGGCCATTACATAATGGTAAAGGGATCAATTCAACAAGAAGAGCCAACTATCCTAAATGTATATGCACCCAATACAGGAGCACCCAGATTCATAGAGCAAGTCCTCAGAGACCTACTAAGAGACTTAGACTCCCACACAATAATAATGGGAGACTTTAACACACCACTGTCAACATTAGACAGATCAACGAGACAGAAAGTTAACAAGGATATCCAGGAATTGAACTCAGCTCTGGACCAAGCGGACCTAATAGATATCTACAGCACTCCCCACCCCAAATCAACAGAATGTACATTCTTTTCAGCACCACACCGCAACTATTCCAAAATTGACAACATAGTTGGAAGTAAAACACTCTTCAGCAAAAGAACAGAAATTATAACAAACTGTCTCTCAGACCACAGTGCAATCAAACTAGAACTCGGGATTAAGAAATTCACTCAAAACCACTCAACTACATGGAAACTGAACAACCTGCTCCTGAATGACTACTGGGTACATAACGAAATGAAGGCAGAAATAAAGATGTTCCTTGAAATCACCGAGAACACAGACAACATACCAGAATCTCTGGGACACATTCAAAGCAGTGTGTAGAGGGAAATTTACAGCACTAAATGCTCACAAGAGAAAGCAGGAAAGATCTAAAATTGACACCCTAACATCACAGTTAAAAGAACTAGAGAAGCAAGAGCAAACACATTCAAAAGCTAGCAGAAGGCAAGAAATAACTAAGATCAGAGCAGAACTGAAGGAAATAGAGACACAAAAAAAACCCTCAAAAAATCAATGAATCCAGGAGCTGGTTTTTTGAAAAGATCAACAAAATTGATAGACCACTAGCAAGACTAATAAAGAAGAAAAGAGGGAAGAATCAAATAGACGTACTAAAAAATGATAAAGGGGATATCACCACTGATCCCACAGAAATACAAACTACCATCAGAGAATACTATAAACACCTCTACACAAATAAACTAGAAAATCTAGAAGAAATGGATAAATTCCTTGACACATACACCCTCCCAAGACTAAACCAGGAAGAAGTTGAATCTCTGAAAAGAACAATAACAGGCTCCGAAATTGAGGCAATAATTAGTAGCCTGCCAACCAAAAAAAAGTCCAGGACCAGATGGATTCACAGCCGAATTCTACCAGAGGTACAAGGAGGAGCTGGTACCATTCCTTCTGAAACTATTTCAATCAATAGAAAAAGAGGGAATCCTCCCTAACTCATCTTATGAGGCCAGCATCATCTTGACACAACAGACTGGCAGAGACCCAACAAAAAAAGAGGATTTTAGACGAATATCCGTGAGGAAAATCGATACAAAAATCCTCAATAAAATACTGGCAAACTGAATCCAGCAGCACATCGAAATGCTTATCCACCATGATCAAGTGGGCTTCATCCCTGGGATGCAAGGCTTGTTCAACATATGCAAATCAATAAATGTAATCCAGCATATAAACAGAGCCTACAACAAAAACCAAATGATTATCTCAATAGATGCAGAAAAAGCCTTTCACAAAATTCAACAACCTTCATGCTAAAAACTCTTGATAAATTAGGTATTGATGGGACGTATCTCAACAAAATAGGAGCTATCTATGACAAACCCACAGCCAATATCATACTGAATGGGCAAAAATGGAAGCATTCCCTTTGAAAACTGGCACAAGACAGGGTTGCCCTCTCTCACCACTCCTATTCAACAAAGTGTTGGAAGTTCTTGCCAGGGAAATCAGGCAGGAGAAGGAAATAAAGGGTATTCAATTAGGAAAAGAGGAAGTCAAATTGTCCCTGTGTGCAGATAACATGATTGTATATCTAGAAAACCCCATCGTCTCAGCCCCAAATCCCCTTAAGCTGATAGGTAACTTCAGCAAAGTCTCAGGATACAAAATCAATGTGCAGAAATCACAAGCATTCTTATACACCAATAACAGACAAACAGAGAGTCAAATCATGAGTGAACCCCCATTCACAACTGCTTCAAAGAGAATAAAATACCTAGGAATCCAACTTACAAGGGACGTGAAGGACCTCTTCAAGGAGAACTACAAACCACTGCTCAATGAAATAAAAGAGGATACAAACAAATGGAAGAACATTCCATGCTCATGGGTAGGAAGAATCAATATCATGAAAATGGCCATACTGCGCAAGGTAATTTATAGATTCAATGCCATCCCCATCAAGCTACCAACGACTTTCTTCACAGAATTGGAAAAAACTACTTTAAAGTTCATATGGAACCAAAAAAGAGCCTGCATTGCCAAGTATCAGGGGACCTGCCCTGATAATCACGTAGGTTATTTTCTATTTTCCTAAGCGTCGGCTGGCTTGAGAAATAAAAGGACAGAGTACAAAAGAGAGAAATGTTAAAGCTGGGCGTCCGGGGGAGACATCACACGTTGGTAGGATCCGTGATGCCCCACAAGCCACAAAAACCAGCAAGTTTTTATTAGGCAGTTTCAAAAGGGGAGAGAGTATACGAATAGGTGTGGGTGACAGATATCAAGTACTTAACAGGGTAATAGAATCTAACAAGGCAAGTGGAGGCAGGGGGAGATCACAGGACCACAGGATGGAGGCGTAATTAAAATTGCTAATGAAGTTTTGGGCACCATTGTCATTGATAACATCTTATCAGGAGACAGGGTTTTGAGATCAACTGGTCTGACCAAAATTCATTAGGCGGGAATTTCCTCTTCCTAATAAGCCTAGGAGCACTATGGGAGACTGGAGTTTATTTCACCTCTGCAAACTCGACCATAAGAGACCAGTTCAGAGACCTACCCCTAGGTGCGCATTCTCTTTCTCGGGGATATCCCATGCTGAGAAAAAGAATTCAGCGATATTTCTCCCTTTTGCTTTTCAAAGAAGAGAAATATGGCTCTGTTCTGCCCGGCTCACTGGCGGTCAGAGTTTAAGGTTCTCTCTCTTATTCCCTGAACAATTGCTGTTATCCTGTTCTTTTTTCAGGGTGCCCACATTTCATATTGCTCAAACACACATGCTGTACAATTTGTGTAGTTAACCCAATTATTACAGGGTCCTGAGATGATATACATCCTTCTCGGCTGACAGGATTAAGAGATTAAAGTAAAGACAGGCATAGGAAATCACAAGCATATTGATTGGGGAAGTGATAATTGTCCATGAAATCTTTACAATTTCTGTTTAGAGATTGCATTAAAGACAGGCATAAGAAATTACAAAAGTATTAATTTGGGGAACTAATAAATGTCCATACAATCTTCACAATCCACATGCTTCTGTCATGGCTTCAGCCGGTCCCTCCGTTTGGGGTCCCTGACTTTCCGCAACAGCCAAGTCAATCTTAAGCCAAAAGAACAAAGCTGGAGGCATCATGCTACCTGACTTCAATCTATACTACAAGGCTACAGAATCCAAAACAGTATGATACTGGTATCAAAACAGAGATATAGATCAATGGAACAGAGCAGAGCCCTCAGAAATAATGCCGCATATCTACAACCATATGATCTTTGACAAACCTGACAAAAACGAGAAATGGGGAAAGGATTCCCTATTTAACAAATGGTGCTGGGAAAACTGGCTAGCCATATGTAGAAAGCTGAAACTGGATCCCTTCCTTACACCTTATACAAAAATTAATTCAAGATGGATTAAAGACTTACACCTAAAACCATAAAAACCCTAGAAGAAAACCTAGGCAATACCATTCAGGACATAGGCATGGGCAAGGACTTCATGTCTAAAACACCAAAAGCAATGGCAACAAAAGCCAAAATTGACAAATGGGATCTAATTAAACCCAAGAGCTTCTGCACAGCAAAAGAAATTACCATCAGAGTGAACAGGCAACATATAGAATGGGAGAAAATTTTTGCAATCTACTCATCTGACAAAGGGCTAATATCCAGAATCTACAATGAACTCAAACAAATTTACAAGAAAAAAACAAACAAACCCCATCAAAAAGTGGGCAAAGGATATGAACAGACACTTCTCAATAGAAGACATCTATGCAGCCAAAAGACACATGAAAAAATGCTCATCATCACTGGCCATCAGAGAAATGCAAATCAAAACCACAATGAGATACCATCTCACACCAGTTAGAATGGCGATCATTAAAAAGGCAGGAAACAACAGGTGCTGGAGAGGATGTGGAGAAATAGGAACACTTTTACACTGTTGGTGGGACTGTAAACTAGTTCAACCATTGTGGAAGTCAGTGTGGTGATTCCTCAGGGATCTAGAACTGGAAATACCATTTGACCCAGCCATCCCATTACTGGGTATATCCCCAAAGGATTATAAATCATGCTGCTATAAAGACACATGCACATGTATGTTTATTGCAGCACTATTCACAATAACAAAGACTTGGAACCAACCCAAAAGTCCAACAATGATAGACTGGATTAAGAAAATGTGACACATATACAGCATGGAATACTATGCAGCCATAAAAAATGATGAGTTCATGTCCTTTGTAGGGACATGGATGAAGCTGGAAGAAACCATCATTCTCAGCAAACTATCGCAAGGACAAAAAACCAAATGCTGCATGTTCTCACTCATAGGTGGGAATTGAACAATGAGAACACATGGACCCAGGAAAGGGAACATCACACACTGGGGCCTGTTCTGGGGTCGGGGGAGAGGGGAGGGATAGCATTGGGAGATATACCTAATATTAAATGACAAGTTAATGAGTTCAGCACACCAACATGGCACATGTATACATACGTAACTAACCTGCACATTGTGCACATGTACCCTAAAACTTAAAGTATAATAAAAAAAAAAGAAAATTTACATTATGCATAAATATAGATTTGTGTAAAAAAAGTCACTGCAGAGCAGTAAAAAAAGGACATTTTTCATTAAATGATGCTGTCATGTTGGATATCTATATATATAGATGATTATAAAATGCTCTTTATCACACACCATACACAAATAGCAATTCCACATTGGTTATAGCAATATAGTAAAGAAAAAATAATAAAGCTTAACAAGTAATGTAGAATAGTTTTTGATCAATCAGTAGGTAAATATTTTGAAAGAACTTAACAAGAAATAAACACAAATTAAAAGATTGTTACATTTACCTACGTCATTAAGGCCTTAACTCTTTGCCAGTCCAAGATGTTGGATTAGAGGGAGCGTCAGCAGGCCTCTCCCACTTGGGAAGAAAAAGTAGGTTTTAGATATTTAACTGTGAACTTTTGTTCCAAGAAGCAATGCAGGAACATAACAGGAAAACTGAAATCCAGAGACACTTTGAAAGAAGTTGCAGGCTTCGCCTATATCTTGAGCCGGGAGAAAAACTGTAAGTCCCAGAGTTTGAGAGAGGGAGAGACTGCCTCCAGGATATACACCCTCAAAGGAGAACCTGGAAAACCAGGCCATGGGGGAAAGCCCTACCCAGCACTAGAACTGATTTAGAGAGTGGTGAGGAATCTAAAAGTGGAAGTGGCAGCAGGAAGAGCCTCACATGCATTTCCAGTGTCCAACATAGACCAAGAGAAGCCATTCCTTATTATGCCTCACAGGAACCTCATAAATGTCTCCCAACTAACTCAGACAGCAATCACAGGTTGAAAAAAGTCCCCAGCTGAATTCCACAGTATAGCCTTGAATGGAGAGCACTCCCTTGGCCAGAACCAAGGAATGAGTGGGAGGGAAGTATGCTGCAGCCAGGAGCTGGGTGTCCTAGCTGTGTGGGTGGATTGGGAGGGGCATGGCCTGAAACCTGTGGTTGCTATCTCTGTGAAGAAAGTTTATGGCCTGGGCAGTTGTGAATTATGAGTGTAGACAGCCTGCAACTTAGCTTTCTGCTGCAGGTGGAAAACTACTGGTGTGAGACCTGCCTTGTCAAGTATCTGGGAGCTGGGTGAGGCTTACTGCCACCTGCTACTACAAACTGCCTGCATGAACTCTTCTGTTCAGCAGAAGCAGCTATGTTCCTCTATAAAACATTACGACAGTGGTCAGATAACTGCCTTGTAACTCCCATAGGAGTTGCTGATTGCCCCACAGGCAGAGAGCCAGGGTACAAACCTGCCTGACCCAGCCCCCATCTGGCTTTGCCCCTCTAACCACCATGGTAGCTTAACACAAAGGATAGAATCTTTCGGGAGCTTTATAGCCCTGCTCATCACCTGAGAAACCAGAGTACCTCCCCAGGGTAACATAAGGCAACCAGAAATCCCATAACTATCATTGTAGCTTGTGTTCTTTTGTAAGTACCACCTCCTGGCTGGAGGCCAACCAGCCAACCAAATGGACTGTGTAGTCCATTATAGCATCTTCAAGTAGAATAACACTGTTCCCAGAAAGAAGAAAACTCATGTGCAACTTCTGCTATCGCCATTGCCTGCATCACCCTGGCCAACCAGGAGGTCCTGAGTCTGTCCACATGACCAGTTCATCACCACTACAACGCACAACTGAGAAAGCCAGCACACTAAGGCTACCTATAACCAAGGAGTCTCACAGTCTCTGTCACTCCCCTGCCACCACCATTAGGGCTGGTGCTGGTACCAGTTGCTGGGGGATATTAAGGACATGTACATCACCACATCCCTTGTAGACATTCCCCAGGACTAGCCTGGAGTATGGCAACTTCACTGGGTAGCTAGACTCAGGGGAGCAATGGCATTCACAGTAGTAGGGCTCTCAGGGATTCCCACTCCTAGAGGAATGGGGAGGGTACCACATCAAGGGAACATGCCTGGGACAAAATAATCCAAACAGCAGGACTTGAGTCCCAGATCTTTCTCCTGGTGGGAAGTTTCTTTCAGGAGAGGCATAGTTGCAGTGCCAGGCTCAGTGGGGAATGTCTGCAGCCCAGGAGCTCTACCCCAACACTCAGGCAGTCCTGGTGCTTGTGAAGGGTCTTGGAGAAGGAAACTTTTTTCTCCCTTATCCACCACTGTGGACACAGCTGTGGTTTTTTCCAAGAGCTCAGCATGGGTGCACTTAGAGACAGCCTTTCTGGAACCCTTCAGGGTGACATCATCCCCACAGAAGGAGCAACCTCCAAATGCAGGTTGCTTTGCATGAGAGGTAGAGTCACAATTCCTCTCTACTTGGAACATCAACATTCCTGCAGATAAAAATATGTGACTGTCTAATCTGAATAGCTGGAACACTAGGTGAAGAGTGTGTCTAGGTGATGGATAGCTTTTCTGCTGCCCTGGTAGGGAAGCTGAGGTAGATCCAGTCCTTCCCTCTTAAAAGACCTCAGTGCATTTTGCTGAGAGCTTCCCTAGCCACCTCTGTCAAGGCTGGGACCTCTGCCCACCATTGGGTATTGCATTTACCCATCTACTTTAGCCATAGCCAGTTTTTACCCATGGACATACCCCTTATTGGCCTGAAATAGTCAACCCAGTAAATAAAATACTGGGGAACAAATAAATAAATTAATAAGTACACAAAATAGGGGAATGAGTTAAGCTTCAAGAGATTTCTGCCATTGCAACCCTATAGAAAACAGTGAACTTGTTCATACACTGAGCACATTGTTACTACAATCATCATCCATCATACGAAAACTCTCTATAACCAAGGAACTTATATAGAGTCTTCACCCCTGAAGGAATCAAGAGCCAAATTAGGCTACAATAAACTATAAATATGAAAGTCACATTCTTGGGGGTGGGGACAAGAAAATTTTTAAAACCCGCAATTAAATACAAAATACATTCAGACTAATTAGAAGAAATAGTCTACACATGTAAGAAGAAATCAGAAAAAATAATTTTAGTAATATGACAAGAAAGGGTTCTATAACAACCCCAAAAGATTACACCAGCCCTGCAGCAATAAATACAAACCAAAATGAAATATTTGAAATACCAGATAAAGAATTTTTAAGGTTGATTGTTAAGCTACTCAAGGGGATAACAAAAGAAAGTGAAAACCTGCTTTTTAAAAAAAAAATTCAAGATATGAATGAAAAATTTGCAAAAGAGATAGATATCTTAAAGCAAAACCAATCAGAAATTCCAGAAATGAAAGACATAGGAAATTACAAAATGCAGTGGAAAGTTTCAACAATAAACTAAAACAAGTAGAAGAAAGAATTTCTGAGCTAGAAGAAAAGACTTTTGAATTGACCCAATCAGACAAAAATTAAAAGAATCAAAAGAAAGGAGCAAAGTTTCCAACAAATGTGAGATTATGTAAAATGGTTAAACCTAAAATTAATTGGTGTTACTGAGGGAGAAGAAAAAGCAAAAAGTTTGGAAAACTTATTTGAGTGAATAATTGAGGAAAACTTCCCTGATCTTGCTAGAGATTTAGATATTCAAATATAAGAAGCTCAAAGAACTCCTGTGAGACTCATTAGAAAAAGATGATCACCAAGACATAGTCAACAGGCTATAAAAAGTCAACATGAAGGAAATAAGTCTAAAAGCCGTGAGACAAAAGCATCAGGTAACCTATAAAGTAAAACATATCAGAGACTAACAGCAGACTTCTCAGCAGAAACCTTACAAGCCAGAAGGGATAGGAGTCCTATTGTTAGCCTCCCTAAACAGAATAACTGTCAGCCAGGAATTTTGTAGCCAGCCAAACCAACTTTCATAAACAAAGGAGATATAAAGTCATTTTCAGACAAAGAAATGCTGAGGAAATTTATTACCAGGTCATTCCTACAAGGAATGATAAGAGGAGTTCTAAATCTTGAAACAAAAGCTTGATATACACAAAAATGGAATCTCTTGAAAGCATTAAACTCACAATGCCTATAAAAAAAGACATGATAAAAAAACAAAGCATCTAGACAAAATTTAACATGATAAATGGAACAATATCTCACATGTCAATATTAATGTTAAATATAAATGACCTAAATGCTCCACTTAAAATGTGTAGACTGACAGAATGGATAAAGAATCACAAACCAAATATCTGCCGTCTTCAAGAGATTCAACTAACATGTAAGAATTCCTATAAACTCAAGGTAAAAGGGTGGAAAAAGCAGGAAAATAGCTACTCCTGCTCACAAATGGAGACCAAAAGTGAGCAGGAGTAGCTATTCTTTTATCAGATAAAACAAACTTTAAAACAACAACAGTAAAAAAAGACAAAGAAAGTCATTATATAATGATAAAAGGATCAGTCCAACAAGAAGATATCACAATCTTAAATAGCACTAGACAGACCATCAAGACAGAAAGTTAGCAAAGAAATAATGGGCTTCAACTACATTCCAGAACAAATGGACCTAATAGATATTTACAGAACATTCTACCCAAGAACTGCAGAATATACATTCTTCTCATCAGAACGTAGAACATTCTCCAAGACAGACTATATGATAGGTCACAAAACAAATCTCAATAAACTTTTAAAAATTAAACTCATATCAAGTGTCTTCTCACACAAGAGTGGAATAAAACTAGAAATCAACCCCAAAAGGAACCCTCAAAACTATACATATACAGGAAAATTAAACAAACTTCTCCTTGATGATTTTTGGTTTCATGATGAAATCAAGGTGGAAATTCAAAAGTTATTTGAAATGAATGATAATAGTGACACAAGTAATCAAAACCTCTGGTATACAGCAAAAGCAGGAAATTTTTTTTATTATAAAAAAAGATGAAATTTTTTTTATTATACTTTAAGTTTTAGGGTACATGTGCACAATGTGCAGGTTTGTTACATATGTATACATGTGCCATGTTGGTGTGCTGCACCCATTAACTCGTCATTTAGCATTAGGTATATCTCCTAATGCTATCCCTCCCTCCTCCCCCAACTCCACAACAGTCCCTGGTGTGTGATGTTCCCCTTCCTGTGTCCATGTGTTCTCATTGTTCAATTCCCACCTATGATTGAGAACATGCGGGGTTTGGTTTTTTGGCCTTGCAATAGTTTGCTGAGAATGATGGTTTCCAGTTTCATCCATCTCCCTACAAAGGACATGAACTCATCATTTTTTATGGCTGCATAGTATTCCATGGTGTATATGTGTCACATTTTCTTGATCCAGTCTATCATTGTTGGACATTTGGGTAGGTTCCAAGTCTTTGCTATTGTGAATACTGCTGCAATAAACATACGTGTGCATATGTCTTTATACCAGCATGATTTATAACCCTTTGGGGATATACCCAGTAATGGGATGGCTGGGTCAAATGGTATTTCTAGTTCTAGATCCCTGAGGAATTGCCACACTGACTTCCACAATGGTTGAACTAGTTTACAGTCCCACCAACAGTGTAAAAGTGTTCCTATTTCTCCACATCCTCTCCAGCACCTGTTGTTTCCTGCCTTTTTAATGATTGCCATTCTAACTGGTGTGAGATGGTATCTCATTGTGGTTTTGATTTGCATTTTTCTGATGGCCAGTGATGATGAGCATTTTTTCATGTGTCTTTTGGCTGCATAAATGTCTTCTTTTGAGAAGTATCTGTTCATATCTTTCACCCACTTTTTGATGGGGTTGTTTTTTTTTTTTTCTTGTAAATTTGTTTGAGTTCATTGTAGATTCTGGATATTAGCCCTTTGTCAGATGAGTAGATTGCAAAAATTTTCTCCCATTCTATATGTTGCCTGTTCACTCTGATGGTAATTTCTTTTGCTGTGCAGAAGCTCTTGAGTTTAATCAGATCCCATTTGTCAATTTTGGCTTTTGTTGCCATTGCTTTTGGTGTTTCAGACATGAAGTCCTTGCCATGCCTATGACCGGAATGGTATTGCCTAGGTTTTCTTCTAGGGTTTTTATGGTTTTAGGTGTAACATTTAAGTCTTTAATCCATCTTGAATTAATTTTTGTATAAGGTGTAAGGAAGGGATCCAGTTTCAGCTTTCTACATATGGCTAGCCAGTTTTCCCAGCACCATTTATTAAATAGGGAATCCTTTCCCCATTGCTTGTTTTTCTCAGGTTTGTCAAAGATCATATGGTTCTAGATATGCGGCATTATTTCTGAGAGCTCTGTTCTGTTCCATTGATCTATATCTCTGTTTTGGTACCAGTACCATGCTGCTTTGGTTACTGTAGCCTTGTAGTATAGTTTGAAGTCAGGTAGCATGATGCCTCCAGCTTTGTTCTTTTGGCTTAAGATTGACTTGGTGATGCGGGCTCTTTTTTGGTTCCATATGAACTTTAAAGTAGTTTTTTCCAATTCTGTGAAGAAAGTCATTGGTAGCTTGATGGGGATGGCATTGAATCTATAAATTACCTTGGGCAGTATGGCCATTTTCACAATATTGATTCTTCCTACCCATGAGCATGGAATGTTCTTCCATTTGTTTTTATCCTCTTTTATTTCATTGAGCAGTGGTTTGTAGTTCTCCTTGAAGAGGTCCTTCACATCCCTTGTAAGCTGGATTCCTAGGTATTTTATTCTCTTTGAAGCAATTGTGAATGAGAGTTCACTCATGATTTGGCTCTCTGTTTGTCTGTTATTGGTGTATAAGAATGCTTGTGATTTTTGTACATTGATTTTGTATCCTGAGACTTTGCTGAAGTTGCTTATCAGCTTAAGGAGATTTTGGGCTGAGACAATGGGGTTTTCTAGATATACAATCATATCATCTGCAAACAGGGACAATTTGACTTCCTCTTTTCCTAATTGAATACCCTTTATTTCCTTCTCCTGCCTAATTGCCCTGGCCAGAACTTCAAACACTATGTTGAATAGGAGTGGTGAGAGAGGGCATCCCTGTCTTGTGCCAGTTTTCAAAGGGAATGCTTCCAGTTTTTGCCCATTCAGTGTGATATTGGCTGTGGGTTTGTCATAGATAGCTCTTATTATTTTGAGATACTTGTCATCAATACCTAATTTATTGAGAGTTTTTAGCATGAAGGATTGTTGAATTTAATCAAAGGCCTTTTCTGCATCTGTTGAGATAATCATGTGGTTTTTGTCTTTGGTTCTGTTTATATGCTGGATTACATTTATTGATTTGTGTATGTTGAACCAGCCTTGCATCCCAGGGATGAAGCCCACTTGATCATGGCTCAAAATAAAGGGATGGAGGAAGATCTACCAAGCAAATGGAAAACAAAAAAAGGTAGGGCTTGCAATCCTAGTCTCTAATAAAACAGACTTTAAACCAACAAAGATCAAAGGAGACAAAGAAGGCCATTACATAATGGTAAAGGGATCAATTCAACAAGAAGAGCTAACTATCCTAAGTATATATGCACCCAATACAGGAGCACCCAGATTCATAGAGCAAGTCCTCAGAGACCTACTAAGAGACTTAGACTCCCACACAATAATAATGGGAGACTTTAACACACCACTGTCAACATTAGTCAGATCAACGAGACAGAAAGTTAACAAGGATACCCAGGAACTGAACTCAGCTCTGCACCAAGCGGACCTAATAGACATCTACAGAACTCTCCACCCCAAATCAACAGAATATACATTCTTTTCAGCACCACACCACACCTATTCCAAAATTGACCACATAGTTGGAAGCAAAGCACTCCTCAGCAAATGTAAAAGAACAGAAATTATAACAAACTGTCTCTCAGACCACAGTGCAATCAAACTAGAACTCAGGATTAAGAAATTCACTCAAGACCACTCAACTACATGGAAACTGAACAACCTGCTCCTGAATGACTACTGGGTACATAACGAAATGAAGGCAGAAATAAAGATGTTCTTTGAAACCAACGAGAACAAAGACACAACATACCAGAATCTCTGGGACACATTCAAAGCAGTGTGTAGAGGGAAATTTATAGCACTAAATGCCCACAAGAGAAAGCAGGAAAGATCCAAAATTGACACCCTAAAATCACAATTAAAAGAACTAGAAAAGCAAGAGGAAACACATTCAAAAGCTAGCAGAAGGCAAGAAATAACTAAAATCAGAGCAGAACTGAAGGAAATAAGACACAAAAAAACCCTTCAAAAAATTAATGAATCCAGGAGCTGGTTTTTTGAAAAGATCAACAAAATTGATAGACTGCTAGCAAGACTAATAAAGAAGAAATGAGAGAAGAATGAAATAGATACAATAAAAAATGATAAAAGGGATATCACCACCGATCCCACAGAAATACAAAATACCATCAGAGAATACTACAAACACCTCTACGCAAATAAACTAGAAAATCTAGAAGAAATGGATAAATTCCTCGACACATACACCCTCCCAAGACTAAACTAGGAAGAAGTTGAATCTCTGAATAGACCAATAACACGCTCTGAAATTGTGGCAATAATCAATAGCTTACCAACCAAAAAAAGTCCAGGACCAGATGGATTCACGGCCGAATTCTACCAGAGGTACAAGGAGGAGCTGGTACCATTCCTTCTGAAACTATTCCAATCAATAGAAAAAGAGGGAATCCTCCCTCACTCATTTTGTGAGGCCAGCATCATCCTGATACCAAAGCCTGGCAGAGACACAACAAAAAAAGAGAATTCTAGAAAAATATCTCTGATGAACATTGACGCAAAGATCCTCAATAAAATACCGGCAAGCCGAAACCAGCAACACATCAAAAAGCTTATCCACCATGATCAAGTGGGCTTCATCCCTGGGATGCAAGCCTGGCTGAACATATAGAAATCAATAAATGTAATCCAGCATATAAACAGAACCAACGACAAAAACCACATGATTATCTCAATAGATAAAGAAAAGGCCTTCAACAAAATTCAACAACAGTTCATGCTAAAAACTCTCAATAAATTAGGTATTGATGGGACGTATCTCAACATAATAAGAGCTATTTATAACAAACCCACAGCCAATATCATACTGAATGGGCAAAAACTGGAAGCATTGCCTTTGAAAACTGGCACAAGACAGGGATGCCCTCTCTCACCACTGCTATTCAACATAGTGTTAGAAGTTCTGGCCAGGGCAATCAGGCAGGAGAAGGAAATAAGGGTATTCAATTAGGAAAAGAGGAAGTCAAATTGTCCCTGTGTGCAGATGACATGATTGTATACCTAGAAAACCCCATCGTCTCAGCCCAAAATCTCCTCAAGCTGATAGGCAACTTCAGCAAAGTCTCAGGATACAAAATCAATGTGCAAAACTCACAAGCATTCTTATACACCAATAACAGACAAACAGAGAGCCAAATCATGAGTGAACTCCCATTCACAATTGCTTCAAAGCAAATAAAATACCTACGAATCCAACTTACAAGGGGTGTGAAGGACCTCTTCAAGGAGAACTACAAACCACTGCTCAATGAAATAAAAGTGGACACAAACAAATGGAAGAACATTCCATGCTCATGGGTAGGAAGAATCAATATCGTGAAAATGGCCATACTGCCCAAGGTAATTTATAGATTCAATGCCATCCCCATCAGGCTACCAATGACTTTCTTCACAGAATTCGAAAAAACTACTTTAAACTTCATATGGATCCAGAAAAGAGCCCGCATCACCAAGTCAATCCTAAGCCAAAAGAACAAAGCTGGAGGCATCACGCTACCTGACTTCAAACTATACTACAAGGGTACAGTAAGCAAAACAGCATGGTACTGGTACCAAAACAGAGATATAGATCAATGGAACAGAGCAGAGCCCTCAGAAATAATACCACATATCTACAACTATCTGATCTTTGACAAACCTGAGAAAAACAAGCAATGTGGAAAGGATTCCCTATTTAATAAATGGTGCTGGGAAAACTGGCTAGCCATATGTAGAAAGCTGAAACTGGATCCCTTCCTTACACCTTATACAAAAATTAATTCAAGATGGATTAAAGACTTAAATGTTACACCTAAAACCATAAAAACCCTAGAAGAAAACCTAGGCAATACCATTCAAGACATAGGCATGGGCAAGGACTTCATGTCTAAAACACCAAAAGCAATGGCAACAAAAGCCAAAATTGACAATTGGGATCTAATTAAACTAAAGAGCTTCTGCACAGCAAAAGAAACTACCATCAGAGTGAACAGGCAATCTACAGAATGGGAGAAAATTTTTGCAATCTACTCATCTTACAAAGGGTAATATCCAGAATCTACAATGAACTCAAACAAATTTACAAGAAAAAAACAAACAACCCTATCAAAAAGTGGGCGAAGGATATGAACAGACACTTCTCAAAAGAAGACATTTATGCAGCCAAAAGGCACATGAAAAAATGATCATCATCACTGGCCATCAGAAAAATGCAAATCAAAACCACAATGAGATACCATCTCACACCAGTAGAATGGTGATCATTAAAAAGGCAGGAAACAACAGGAGCTGGAGAGGATGTGGAGAAATAGGAACACTTTTACACTGTTGGTGGGACTGTAAACTAGTTCAACCATTGTGGAAGTCAGTGTGGCAATTCCTCAGGGATCTAGAACTAGAAATACCATTTGACCCAGCCATCCCATTACTGGGTATATACCCAAAGGATTATAAATCATGCTGCTAGAAAGACACATGCACACGTATGTTTATTGCGGCACTATTCACAATAGCAAAGACTTGGAACCAACTCAAATGTCCAACAACGATAGACTGGATTAAGAAAATGTGGCACATATACACCATGGAATACTGTGCAGCCATAAAAAAGGATGAGTTCATGTCCTTTGTAGGGACATGGATGAAGCTGGAAACCATCATTCTCAGCCAACTATCGCAAGGACAAAAAACCAAACACCACATGTTCTCACTCATAGATGGGAATTGAACAATGAGAACACATGGACACAGGAAGGGGAACATCACACACCAGGGACTGTTGTGGGGTGGGGGGAGGGGGGAGGGATAGCATTTGGAGATATACCTAATGTTAAATGATGAGTTAATGGGTGCAGCACAGCAACATGGCACATGTATATATATGTAAGAAACCTGCACCTTGTGCACATGCACCCTAAACTTAAAGTATAATAAAAAAGAAAGATTTCTCCTTTCTCCATTTTGTTTGTTTTTATTTATTCAACCATTTATTTATATCTATATTGACATATGGATACTTATTTTATATTTAACGTTATACTTCAAATACTACTTCGTTTTCTTGCTCCAATTGTTTCAAATTTGGCCCCTTGGAGCTCTTCAGTTTGCTTCTGAGTTCCTTTGATATGCTTGTATCTTTGTGTGTCTTTTCTGTTTGTTTGTTAGCACTATTTTACTTTCTGGCACAACAAGGTAATCCAGATTCATCTTGTGGATTTCCTACCACAGTACTAGAATCAGCCATTTCTCCAAGGATTCCTGATATTTTTTATTGGAGAAATATGTTAGAAACCAAGATCAAGGCACTAGACTGTCTCCAGGGTATTGTTTCCAGGCCCTGTCAACTGACAGAATAAAGAAATGTATGTGTGTATACATATCTGAAAAGATGTAAACAAACATATATCTTGGAAAGATATCTGCACTCCCATGTTCACTGCAAAATTATTCACAATAGTCGAGATATGGCAACAACATAAATGTTCCCTGATGTATGAATGGAGAAAAAAATGTCATACCCAGATACAATGGAATAATATTCAGTCTTAAAAAGAGTAAGAGCCTGTAATCCCAGCACTTTGGGAGGCCAAGGCAGGGAGATCACGAGGTCAGGAGATCGAGACCATCCAGGCTAACACGGTGAAACCCCGTCTCTACTAAAAATACAAAAAATTAGCCGGGTGCGGTGGTGTGCGCCTGTAGTCCCAGCTACTCATGAGGCTGAGGCAGGAGAATGGCGTAAACCCGGGAGGCGGAGCTTGCAGTAAGCCGACATCGCGCCACTGCACTCCAGCCTGGGCGACAGAGCGAGACTCCGTCTCAAAAAAAAAAAAAAAAAAAAGAGAAAGAAATTCTGCCATATGCAATGCCATGGATGAACCTGGAAGACATCATTCCAAGTGAAATAAACTAGTTACAGAAGGACAAATACTGCATGATTTAACTTGTATGAGGTATCTTAAATAGTCAGACTCATAGAAACAGAGTAGGATGGTAGTAGCCAGGAACAGGTAAGAGGTGAAATGGGGAGTTAATGTTCGATGGGTATGAAGATGAATAAGTTCTAGAGAACTGTATGACACTGGGCCTAGATTCAACAATATTATATTGTGTACTTAAAAATTTGTTAAGTGTGTAGAGTTCATGTTATGTGTTTATACAATGAAAAATGAAATAATACAAACAAAATATTTAAATATATCTATATTTAAATATAAATAAATAAAAATAAATGATAGTGAAGAAAACAAACAAAAAATATTTATGGATTTTGACACATACTTAATGTATTATACTCATCATTATATCATATAGAATAGTTTTACAATCTCAAAGAATCTCCTGTCCTTCACATACTTAACTTCACCCTCCCAAATCCCTTGAAACAACTGATCTATTTACTGTCTCTGTAATTTTGTGTTTTCCAGAATGTCATAGAGTTGTAATCACACAGTGTGTAGCCTTTTCAGACTGGCTGTTTCACTAAGCAATATGCATTTAAGATTCATCCATGTCTTTTCATGACTTATTTATTATAAAATTATTAATATTATTTCTTATATAAGTTTTTTAGCTCAGTTTTAGGTTCACAACAAAATTGAGCAGAAGTACAGAGGTTTCCCATATCCCTCTAACTTCTCTATGCATAGCCTATGCCATTATCAACATCCCCCACCAGAGTGCTGCATTTGTCAGAATTGATGAGCCTACATTGACACACCATAATTGCCTAAGCTATGTACCATACTTTAGGGTTCACTCTTGGTAATATATATTCTAGAGGTCTGGACAAATGTATAATGACATGTATCCACCATTGTATCATACAGAATAGTTTCATTCCTCTATAAATTCTCCGTGTTTCACCTACACATCCCCCACCCAGCACCTGACACCATTGATCCTTGTAATATCGCCATAGTTTTGCCTCTTCCACAGTTGCATATAATTGAAATTATACATTTTGTAGCCTTTTCAGATTTGCTTCTTTCACTTAACAATACGTATTTAAGTTTCCTCCATGTGTTTTCATGACTTCATAGCTCGTATCTCCTTAGCATTGAATAATATTCCATTGTCTGGATGTACCACACTTTATCCATTCACCTACTGAAGGGTATCTTGGTACATATGAATAAAGCTGCTATAAACATTCATATGCAGGTTTTTGCATGGACATAAATTTCAGCTAATTTTGGTAAGTGCCAAGGAGCATGATTGCTGGGTTGTATAGTAAGAGTATGTAATTTTTGTAAGAAACTGCCAATTCTCTCATTCTGTAGGCTGTTTACTCTGTTGATGGTTTCTTTTGCTGTGCAGAAGCTCTTTAGTTTTATAAGATCCCATTTGTCAATTTTTATTTTTCTTGCAATTGCTATTGGCATCTTTGCCTGTTCCTGTTTCCAGAATGGTATTTTCTAGGTTATCTTCTTGTGTTTCTGTATTAGGTTGGTGCAAAAATAACTGCTGTTTTGCCATTTCACTCTGTCGACCAGGCTGGAGTGCAGTGGCATGATCTTGGCTCACTGCAGCCTCTGCCGCCCAGGTTCAAGTGATTCTCCTGCCTCAGCCTCCTCAGTAGCTGGGATTACAGGCACCTGCCACTGCACGTGGCTAATTTTTGTAGTTTTAGTAGAGAGGGGGGATTTCACCATCTTGGCCAGGCTGGTCTTGAACTCCTGACGTTGTGATCCACCCGTCTCAGACTCCCAAAGTGCTGGGATTACAAGCGTGAACCACCAGGCCCGGCCCAGCAATTACTTTTGCACCAACCTAATAGTTTTAGGTTTTAAATTTAAGCCTTTAATTCATCTTGAATTTATTTTTGTAGGTGATATAAGGAAGATGCCCAGTTGCAATCTTCTGCATATGGCTATCCAGTTATACCAGCACTATTTATTGAATAGGGAGTTTTTTTCTCTATTGCTTCTTTGTACTGACTTTTTCAAATATCAGATAGTTGTAAATATGTGGCTTTACTTTTGGGCTCTCTATTGTGTTCTATTGGTCTATGTGTCTGTTTTTATACTAATACTATGCTGTTGTGGTCACTGCAGCCTTGTATTAACAGTATAATTTGAAGCTGAGTGATGTGATGTATCCAGCTTTTTTTTTTTTTTTTTTTTTTTTGCTCAGGATTGGGTATTTGGGCTCTTTTTATGTTTGCTATGAATTTTAAAATAGTTTTTTTTTTCTAATTCTGTGGAGAAATGTCATTTGTTGTTTGATAGGAATAGCATTGAATCTGTGAAGTGCTTTGGGCAGTATGGTCATTTATCAATATTGATTCTATCATTGAGCATGGAATGTTTTTTCATTTGTTTGTATCATGTCTAATTTCTTTCAGCAGTGTTTTGAAATTATTGTTGTAGAGATCTCTCACCTCCCTGGTCAGCTGTATTCCTAGGTATTTTATTATTTTTGTAGCTATTGTGAATGGCATTGTGTCCTTGATTTGGCTTTCAGCTTGGATGTTGTTCTATAGAAATGTTACTGATTTTTGTGTACTGATTTTATATCCTGAAATTTTGCTGAAGTTATTCAGATCTAGGAGCTTTTAGGCAGAGTATGCAGTTTTCTAGGTATAAAATCATCTTTTCTCCAAACATAAATAGTTTAACTTCATCTCTTCTTGTTTGGATGCCTTTTATTTCTTTCTCTTGCCTGTCTGCTCTGGCTAGGATTTCTAGTACTATGTTGAATATGAGTGGTGATCAGGGGCATCCTTGTCTTATTCTCAAGGCAAATGCTTCAAACTTTTGCTTATTCCATATAAGGTTGGCTGTGGGTTTGTCATAGATGGATCTTATTATTTTGAGGTATGTTCCTTTAATGCCTGGTTTGTTGAGGGCTTTTAACATGAAGCATGCTGAATTTTATTGAAGGCCTTTTCTGCATCTGTTGAGACAATCATATGGTTTTGTTTTTAGTTCTGTTTATGTGATGAATCACTTGTAAAATTTTTGAGAGGACATTATACTTAAAAGCAATAATACACTGTTAAAAAGAAACTGAGAGGGAAAAACATGTTTTACATGTGTTGAACCAACCTTCATTCCAGGCATAAAGCCTACTTGATTGCATTAGATTAGCTTTTTGATGTGCTGTTGGATTCAGTTTGACAGTATTTTGTTGAGGGTTTTTGCTTCTATGTTCATCAGGGATATTGGCCTGAAGTTTTATTTTCTTGTTGTGTGTCTTCCAGGTTTTGGTATTGGGATGATGCTGGCCTCATAGAATGAGTTAGAGAGGAGTTCCTTCTCATCAAGTTTTTGAAATAGTTTCAGTAGGAATGGAAACAGCTCTGCTTTATACATCTGGTAGACTTCAGCTGTGAATCCATTTGGCCCTGGCCTTTTTTTGGTTGGTAGGCTTTTTATTACTGATTCAATTTCAGAGCTCATTACTGTTTATTCAGGAATTCAGTTTCTTCCTGGTTAAATCTTGGGAGGTTGTATGTTTCCAGGAATTTATCCATTTCTCCTACGTTTTCTAGTATGTGTGAATAGGTGCTTCTGAGGGATATTTTGTGTCTCTGTGGGGTCAGTGGTAATGTCTCCTTTGTCATTTCTGATAGTGTTTATTTGGATCTTCTCTTTTTTCTTTGTTATTATAACTAATGGGCTATTAATCTTATTATTCCTTCAAAGAACAAACTACTAGATTCATTGATCTTTTGTATGTTTTTTCTCATCCTTCAAGAAAAAGTTTTTAATTTTAATTCCAGCCAAATTTGTTTTTCATGAATTGTACCTTCGTTATTGTAACCAAAATGTCAGCACAATACCCAAGGGCAGTAGGTTGCCTCATGTTATCTTCTAGATAGTATTTTCAGAAAAAAATTTGAGAGGACATTATACTTAAAAGCAATAATACACTGTTAAAAAGAAACTGAGAGGGAAAAACATCTTAAATATTAGGAACACAAATTCAAAAACATAATAAAAATTATATTTCTGAAAATTGAATTAGATATAAAGAATATCAAACATGGCCATTCTACCATACCTTAAAATAACAGAAAGAGTTCAAAATTAGGAGACAAAATTTGAAGGGAAATATAGGATACATGCAAGATATAGAACAGTACTCTATATTGTAAGAACATATGAGAAAATATAAAGAAGACAAAAGAAAAGGATGCTATCAAAGAAGCCAGGGAAGAAAACTTCACTGAACTAAGAATAGATGCAGTACTCAGATGGAATATGTTAATTGAATATTGAGGAAATTCTCACTTGATAGGATAAGGAAAACCAAGAGAACCTCCTATAAACTTTCAGAGAGGAAAGAAAATAAACAAGCACTTGCAAAAAAACAGTAACTAGCTTGGCACAGGATAAATGCAATAAGGCAATGAAAACATTATATAGAACTCATAGAAAAAATATATAATTTTAATTTATTATTCTACATTCCCAGCCAAACTTCCATTAAGGTATAAGTTTAAGTCATATTGTGACTCAATAGGAACACCACAATGCACAAATTTTGGAATCAGAAATAGATTTCTCAGTTTAGTAATAATGTAAATAATGTAATAATGAAAAATTTTAAAAATAATAAAATAGGAAAGTCATGAGGTACAATTTTAATAATGAGAAAGAAATACACACTGATCATACTTACCTCTTACGTATAGCAGTAGAGGGTTGTGTTGATGAGTTATGACACACATCCTACAATTTTTTCTCGTACATACTAGACTGGAAAGAGAAGGGGAACATAAAAACTTTTAAGGGTCCGCTTGTGTGTTTCTTCTCCTGTAGGATAAGACTCGTTATAAATTACTTAGGAAGTGTATTTATAAGACACTTAGGTAAATGAAGCCTGGACCAAGCAGAGATTATGCAAGGAGGGCAAGGGGGAGAAGGTGAGTAGATGTGAATGTTAGAAGAGCTGTATTTTGTGGCTACTTTAAGCTGATTACCAACCCAAACAATTAGCAAAGTATGCTCAGATACAATTCCTCATGTGGGAGATTCTGAGGGATTGATGTTTGACATGATACAGAACTGCGCTGCACCCAGACTGACCAGATGAATCCTACATTGGACGAATCTGGCAATCAACTAAAGTAGAGTTTTGATCCAAAAGTTGCAGGGCAGCTGTGAGGCACTACCACTGCCTTTAACACCCCCGCACCATCCTTCTACCACACCTGGGAGAGGTCATCTAAGTTTAATCTGAACCACAAGTTGCAGTATACGTTAGCTAACATATCAGTTGATTTTTTTTTTAAGTATAAGAAACATACTTTTGATCATATAAGTGTGATGCTTAATGCATTTGTCAAGCATATTTATAAAGTGAAAGAGGCATGATGCACAAATTGCTGACATAAACACAAGTAATAATCTGGAACTCAAATTTCAGAAGATTAAAAAAAAAACTCACATGAAATAAGGGAAGGCAATAATTCTACATTCTTCTATTCTTGCTTGCCTGGACTAATTTTCGAGATTGTTAGAAAAATAAAGACCGGTAACAATTTGTAAAACATGGAGGGTATCCATTAGGAGAAAAAAATAACATCCAGAGCAGGCAAAGATTAGTTGTAGTCTAGCAAAAGCTGAGAGATGGGAAAAGTAAAAGTGTAAAATATATGTAAGACAAACTAAGAGCAGAATTAAGAAGTACATAATTACTTTGTTTAAAGGCAAATAATTTCTGATTGAATAGTTTTTTTTAAAAGAGACACACACTACATGCAATGATTATATTTAAACCATAGAAAGACTAGTGTGAGAAGGTGATACGGTTTGGATATGTGTCCCCTCCAAATCTCATGTTGAAATGTGATCCCATTGTTGCAGGTGGGGCCTGCTAAGGGGGGGTGATTGCATCACAGGGACGGATCTCCCATGAATGGTTTAGTGCCATATCCTTGGTGATACGTGAATTCTCACTCAGTTTACGTGAGATCTGGTTGTTCAAAAGCCTAGGACTACCCCCTCACCACTCACTCTCCATGTGACATGCCTGCTCCCCCTTCACCTTCCACGATGATTGTGAGTTCTCTGAAGTCCTCACCAGAAGCAGATGCTGGCACCATACTTCCTATACAGCCTGCAGAACAGTGAACCAATTCAATCTTTTTTTAAAAGTAAATTACTCAGCCTCAGATATTTCTTTATATATAGCAAAAATGGCTATAGGCAAAAGGACATATTCGGGATGTAATGGCCCAGAAAATAAATCACCTGTATTATTTTTTCCCATAAAATTAAACAAACAAACAAAAAATACCAAAAAAACCCAAAATGAACCATTATAGTTTAGCTCCAAAATTTTGGGAGAAGTTTTCTGTGTTTTGTCAGAATATAGAAATATGTTTTTTAATTTTGACTTAAAATATTTTGTACTCTGAAAACTTAAACTGCATACGTATGTATTTTCATTTCCAAAATGAACAAAATAAAGAGGAAAAGGAGAGAAATAGAAAGTGAGAGAGAGAGTGCAGAAATGTCTCAATTACCCTGGTGTGCGGGGGGAGAAGCATTCCCAAGAGCCTAGTTTTCAAAATTCAGCATTAATTTAATGGTAGATCAAAAGAGCAAGAGAAATGGAGCAAAGACAGTCAATTTGCTGCAATGTCTAGCCCCATAACTTGGAGCTAAATTTGCTTAAATCCTGAGCTTCAAGGAAAGATGGGCTTAAGGCCCTGTGAACCTATGTGTAAGGAGCACCTGGCACATCAGAACCAGCCTTGCATGCAATTTCTGTAAATGACACCACTCAGTTCTGTTAGAATTAAATCTAGTTAAAAATCTATGAAATATCAGACTTATTTCACCTCTTAGCTTTATCATTACAGAATTCTGGGTTATTTCTTTTCTATCCCACACTTTCTCAATAAAATCCCTTAACATCTGACTCTAATTTTGTTCTACTCTTTTATATTAAACCAATTAGATAATCCATTAAACAAATGGGAGGAAATAGCATTAATGATATGTTGCACTTGCATTATGAAGTTAATTGGATTAACTAAATTAGCTCTTTTGTATTCAAGCTTGCATGTGTTTTTAATGTCGAAAGCAAGAAATCATCAAGAAAACTCCCATTTCTGTGATTTTTTCTCTTCATTTTAAAGCAGAGGTCAGTGACACCACATACTGTCAACAAGCCTAAAGTTTAAAGAAAAGAGAGAGAGAAAAAAATAAAGGAGAATACAAAATAAACAAGAAAAGAATCACAGAAATTTAAATAAGATATAGGATCTGTAATTCCATCTAACCTTACTTAGGGAGTAAGAGTAGCAAAATCGTGCAGCAAAATGATTCTGGACATTTTCTCTGGCTTCAAAATAACATGACATTCCTGGGTAAGACAGCATTGGGATCATGGATAAATTCAGGGTCCATAGTTTTCTATGGTATGAAAGGGCTTTGCTTGAGAGTAAAACCCTACTCAGGAAATCTTGGATACCTTGCCTCAAGGCCTGGATCAACCTTAAATTCAAGTTATCCAGACACTGACAACTGTGGTTATTTCATGACACAGCCCAAGTTTTCCAGTCAGAGTTAATGCTGGAAATCTCGAGTCCAGGTGGAAGGTGATGTGTCCTGACCACCCACCGGAGAAGCCTGATTATTCACCTTCACATCAAAGAGCATATTGCACTTGGAAATTGTACTTTCTAAAGTATGTAGATGATCCATTACATGGAGTGTTCTAAAATAATAGTCTGATTCTAAAATTTGTATTATAATATTCAATTATTTTATATTTAGAAGCAAAAATTGTTTTTGGATTGTATTAATTAAAATTTTCTGTTAAGAGGCAAACTTGGAATGTCTGTGAATATACAGTTCTTGATTCAGAGCAATGCTAGTCATCACTAAGGTGCACAAATACTCATTAAGAGGTAAAAAGAGGTAAGACCTTATGATGTGCAATACCTTCATTTTATTATTATTGGTATAGTGAATAAAGCTTGGTGTTCTTAGTCAAAGAATGAATCTGACTTTTATAGAGGAAGGTAGTAAATTTAAGTGTCTAATTATGTATAATGCTTTCAATAATTTGCCTAAAAATTCAGAAATTAAGATGTAAGTCTGAGTTGTAAATAATAAAAGACTTCAGAAATTCAGAATTAAGTATATTTCTATATTGTAGATAATTATTGGCTTTTTGTTCCGTAATTGTCAGACAGTATACATAGTATGTCTATTAGCATATACAGTTATATTGGAACACTTATTTTATTTGCATAACATATAGGATATGTACATCTTAAAACAAATCTGGGATCTCAGTCAATTATAATTTTTTTATCCAAATGATTACAATTCATAACAAACTACTTTTTTCCTTCAATTTTTTCACGTAAATAAAACCTAGGTTATGGCTATATAAAAATATAGTAGATTGCCCAGATAATAATAGAGTAAAATACTAATTCTGCTTCTTTTCGTTCTCTCAAACTAATCACATGCAACAAAGATCACAAGAATCAGTAAACTCCTTTTACTCTGGAACTAGGAAACATTCATAAGCAGAATTCCATTTATAAGAGAGCTCTGACAAGTGCTTTGGAAATAGGCTAAATTGCAGAAATGCTGAGAGAAGACAGAAGCCTCCTGGGTCACAGACAGACTAGGCAGAGTGCAGTTTCCACATGCAGTGGGAATGCTCTGTGAGGCAGGATCAGTGACCCCCCACACCTCGAAGTTGCACTCATGTGGATAAGTGACAGGAGCTGCCTGAACCTCCTGTGCCATTGCTGATAGATGGATGTGTTAGCAGACACCATAAATGAAGAGCTTTATAAGTGCAATATTAAATTCTGGCAAGAGTGGCTTGAGGTTAGTCCTTCCATACACTTGAATTCTGAATAAACTATTCTAGTAAAGTGCAATTTGGTGAGGACTGAACTCTGATCATTTTTTCTCGCTCAAATTCCTTTCTAAGGGACCTGGGGAGTCACGTCTTACATACCATAAAATCTCATTAAGCAGGTTTTTGTTGTTATTGTTGTTTGTTTGTTTGTTTTTTTTGACTTGGAATATTGTGGACGACTTTTCAACCTGACTCTGCTATGGCAGCACATGACAGATAGCAGACTCCCTTTACTCAGCTTACGCATTCCTTTCTACTGAGCCCAAGTTTGTTTTTTTTTTTTAATTATACTTTAAGTTTTAGGGTACATGTGCACAACGTGCAGACCTGTTACATATGTATACATGTGCAAAGTTGGTGTGCTGCACCTATTAACTCGTCATTTAGCATTAGGTATATCTCCTAATGCTATCCCACCCCCCTCCCCCCAACCCACAACAGTCCCCGGTGTGTGATATATCCCCTTCCTGTGTCCATGTGTTCTTATTGTTCAATTCCCGCCTATGAGTGAGAACATGCGGTGTTTGGTTTTTTGTCCTTGCGATAGTTGGCTGAGAATAATGGTTTCCAGTTTCATCCATCTCCCTACAAAGGACATGAACTTATCCTTTTTTATGGCTGCATAGTATTCCATGGTGTATATGTGCCACATTTTCTTAATCCAGTCTATTGTTGTTGGACATTTAGGTTGGTTCCAAGTCTTTGCTATTGTGAATAGTGCCGCAATACACATACATGTGCATGTGTCTTTATAGAAGCATGATTTATAATCATTTGGGTATATACCCAGTAATGGGATGGCTGGGTCAAATGGTATTTCTAGTTCTAGATCCCTGAGGAATCGTCACACTGACTTCTACAATGGTTAAACTAGTTTACAGTCCCACCAACAGTGTAAAAGTGTTCCTATTTCTCCACATCCTCTCCAGCACCTGTTGTTTCCTGACTTTTTAATGATTGCCATTCTAACTGGTGTGAGATGGTATCTCATTGTGGTTTTGATTTGCATTTCTCTGATGGCCAGTGATGATGAGCATTTTTTCATGTGTTTTTTGGCTGCATAAATGTCTTCTTTTGAGAAGTGTCTGTTCATATCTTTTGCCCACTTTTTGATGGGTTTTTTTTTTTTTTTCTTGTAAATTTGTTTGAGTTCATTGTAGATTCTGGATATTAGCCCTTTGTCAGATGAGTAGGTTGCAAAAATTTTCTCCCATTCTGTAGGTTGCCTGTTCACTCTGATGGTAGTTTCTTTTGCTGTGCAGAAGCTCTTTAGTTTAATTAGATCCCATTTGTCAATTTTGGCTTTTGTTGCCATTGCTTTTGGTGTTTTAGACATGAAGTCCTTGCCCATGCCTATGTCCTGAATGGTATTGCCTAGGTTTTCTTCTAGGGTTTTTACGGTTTTAGGTGTAACATTTAAGTCTTTAATCCATCTTGAATTAATTTTTGTATAAGGTGTAAGGAAGGGATCCAGTTTCAGCTTTCTACATATGGCTAGCCAGTTTTCCCAGCACCATTTATTAAATAGGGAATCCTTTCCCCATTGCTTGTTTTTCTCAGGTTTGTCAAAGATCAGATAGTTGTAGACATGCGGCATAATTTCTGAGGGCTCTGTTCTGTTCCATTGATCTATATCTCTGTTTTGGTACCAGTACCATGCTGTTTTGGTTACTGTAGCCTTGTAGTGTAGTTTGAAGTCAGGTAGCGTGATGCCTCCAGCATTGTTCTTTTGGCTTAGGATTGACTTGGTGATGCGGGCTCTTTTTTGGATCCATATGAACTTTAAAGTAGTTTTTTCCAATTCTGTGAAGAAAGTCATTGGTAGCTTGATGGGGATGGCATTGAATCTATAAATTACCTTGGGCAGTATGGCCATTTTCACGATATTGATTCTTCCTACCCATGAGCATGGAATGTTCTTCCATTTGTTTGTGTCCTCTTTTATTTCATTGAGCAGTGGTTTGTAGCTCTCCTTGAAGAGGTCCTTCACATCCCTTGTAAGTTGGATTCCCAGGTATTACATTCTCTTTGAAGCAGCTGTGAATGGGGGTTCACTCATGATTTGGCTCTCTGTTTGTCTGTTATTGGTGTATAAGAATGCTTGTGATTTTTGTGCATTGATTTTGTATCCTGAGACTTTGCTGAAGTTGCTTATCAGCTTGAGGAGATTTTGGGCTGAGATGATGGGGTTTTCTAGATACACAATCATGTCATCTGCAAACAGGGACGATTTGACTTCCTCTTTTCCTAATTGAATACCCTTTATTTCCTTCTCCTGCCTGATTGCCCTGGCCAGAACTTCCAACACTATGTTGAATAGGAGTGGTGAGAGGGGGCATCCCTGTCTTGTGCCCGTTTTCAAAGGGAATGCTTCCAGTTTTTGCCCATTCAGTATGATATTGGCTGTGGGTTTGTCATAGATAGCTCTTATTATTTTGAGATATGACCCATCAATACCTAATTTATTGAGAGTTTTTAGCATGAAGGGTTGTTGAATTTTGTTGAAGGCCTTTTCTTTATCTGTTGAGATAATCACGTGTTTTTTGTCTTTGGTTCTGTTTATATGCTGGATTACATTTATTGATTTGTGTATGTTGAACCAGCCTTGCATCCCAGGGATGAAGCCCACTTGATCATGGTGGATAAGCTGTTTGATGTGCTGCTGGATTCGGTTTGCCAGTATTTTATTGAGGATTTTTGTGTTGATGTTCATCAAGGATATTGGTCTAAAATTCTCTTTTTTGGTTGTGTCTCTGCCAGACTTTGGTATCAGGATGATGCTGGCCTCATAAAATGCGTTAGGGTGGATTCCCTCTTTTTCTATTGCTTGGAATAGTTTCAGAAGGAATGGTACCAAGTCTTTAGACAAAGCTGAACTCTTTCAACCAATTGCCAAATAAGAATTCTAAAACCCACCTATGACTTGTAAATTCCCACTTCAAGATGTCCCACCTTTTCAAGTTGAACCAATGTATACCTTCCATATATTGATTTATGATTTTGCCTGCAAATCCCATCTCCCTGAAATGTATAAAACTAAACTGTAACCCCACCACTTGGGTGCTCTTTCTTAGGACCTCTTGAGACTGTGTTACCTGAGCCACAGTCACTCATATTGGCTCAGAGTAAAAATCTTAAAATATTTTGGCAGAATTTTGGTTTTTCCTTCGTCATTGGCAATCTGACCTTAAAATGTGAATCCAGCTGAGGATACGCACTGGGTATTCTCATTTTGTTCATTTTGCTCCAGTCTCTATCCTTTACCCCAAGCCCAGCCCTGGGAGGCTGACTTCTGTATGCTGTGTTCTCCCTTCTTGCTTCCAGTTGAATTTGGTCAGCAGCAACATAGGCAGAAGATTAGAACGTGAGAGAAAATTAAAGCTGCGCTCCTCCGGGGAAAGGGAAGCACCCGGGTCAGCTATGCGGTTTGTGTGCCTTGTGTGAGAATGTTTAAAGGATACCTCCTCCCTCCAAGTGGAATTATTTGATGGTGTTTTCTCCCCACTTTGCCAAATTATAAGCAAGTAGTTCTTAAGAAATATAAACATATTGATACAAAATCTGCTTTTGAACAAATTGTTTTTGAAAATCTTAAAAAATCTTTAAAAATGTGGAAAACATGCTTTTACCTTCAACCTGTTTACAAGTTGCTTTTGTAATGTAAAGCAGCACAACTAAGCGGCTTGTGTTTGAGACAGCTGAAGCACTGACAAGGATCTGTGAGAAGACTCCAGGGGGCTCCTTAGCCAAGTTTCAGCACAAAGGCTTCATGACCATCACCGAATGCTGACAAAGCATCAGTCTCAGTACATCTCACAGAGAATAGAGTTTTCAGTGGCTCATCACACAGACTGGAAGAAATTCCAAACCCTTCCTGCAGACTAGAGAAAAATGTTATACAATGAATGCATGTATCAAAACATCAAATTGTACCACATAAATGTGTACAATTACAAAGTATCAATTCAAAAAACTAAAAAAGAATAAAGAAATGTTGTTAACAGAGGTCAGTGGAACACAGCTGAGGTCAGCAGCTGGGGCAGTGAAAGACTGATTTCCCTGACAGCATAGTGTTATCACCTATCCTCATTTCCTTCCGTCTCCCTTATTAGCTCACTCCATGCTTATCAAGAACATAGTCATTGTACTAACGAAGAGTGTATGTTATTAGCAACATAGCTATGTATTGCCTATATTTTACAGCCCAAAGCCAAGGATTTTACATTTAATTTTGCAAAAATAATAAAAATAAAACAGTCAAAGAGAAATTTGGTTTCAGACCAGGTGTGGTGGCCCGCATCTGTAATCCCAACATTTTGGGAGGCTGAGGCGGGAGGATCACTTGAGCCCAGGAGTTTGAGACCAGTTTGGAAAACACAGAGAGTTCTCACCTCTATAATATTTATAAATAAGTAAATAAATTTGGTTCAACATCCAAATAAGGTGCATAAAGTTAAATTCATAATATAATTTTATTTTTTTTTGAGACGGAGTCTCACTCTGTCACCCAGGCTGGAGTGCAGTGGCGTGATCTCGGCTCACTGCAAGCTCCTCCTTCCGGGTTCACGCCATTCTCCTGCCTCAGCTTCCTGAGTACAAAATTTTATTTTTAAATGACTTTTTAATTACATAATTAACATATGAAGAGACACAAGCAAATAAGCACAAAATCCGTTACAGAGGATGATTAATTCTCTCTGTTGGCTTCCAATCTAATTCCAGTTCCATATTTATTTTCTGGAGCTGATCATATATGTTAGTTTCATGTGATACATTTAGACACATATCTATGCGTATGTGTACTGATATAAATATATGTTACTGTGTTTAGGTGTCTTTTTAAAGGATATATTATATGTTGTAACATATACATATTTTTTATAATATATCTTGGGAAGCTATCCAAGGAACTTTATATGGATCTAGCTATCTATTGTCAACTGTGAAAAAGTATTCCATAGTACAAATATAGCAAAATTTAATAGCCAAAAATTAGTATTTAGCATACATTGTATATTTTGAGTACATATGTATATACATACACACAAATGTATTCTCAAAATATTTCATTTGTTTTGAATTTTGTGAAGTCCTTGTTCCATAAATTTGTTGTTTAATTTAGGTAAGTTAATAATAATAATTCATTTTCATTATGGCATTTTTGCTATTTGAGAAAGACTGTTCCTACCCCCAAGATTCTATATCTATGTGCTATGTAAATTGCATTTTTTGTTTCATTCATTGTATTCTTCGGTATTTAAATTATATAAATACTTTCTATACATTAATATAAATAATTAACAATGGAGCTACAAAAAATTAAAAATAATAATAAACATAAATGATCAATTTATATAAATCTCAACCTCATTAGAAAGTAGGATAAAAATTAGAACAACAAAGAAATAATAGTTTTCATTGATAAAAACAAGACACTTTAAACTTTGATCATATTAAGTTTTGATTTACGAGAGATTAAACTCATACAACCTCTCTCGAGCAATTTAGAAGTAATAAATTATTTTTCTCTGCAATATAATTTCTAGTTTGATACCTAGAAATATAACTACACAAAAAAGCACAAACAATGCTATTTAACAATTTTTAATAGCCAAATTTTAGAAGCAATGTAATACTTTTAACAAGAGAATGTTAAACCTCTTGTGTGATTATACAGTATTTGTCTTTCTGTGACTAACTTATTTCACTTACCATAATGTTCTCTGGGTTCATCCATATTGATACAATGGCAGAATTTTCTTCTTATGTCATATTTTCTTTAACCATTCATCAGTGGATATTTAAGTTGTTGCCATATCTTGGCTATTATGAAAAATACCACAATGAACATGGAAGTTCAGGTATCTCTTTAAGATAATGAATTTACTTCCTTTGGATAAATATCCAAACTGGGGTTACCAGATTATGCGGTGATCCTGTTTTTAATTTTTTGTGTAGCCTTCTTATTGTTTCCATAATGGCTTTACACATTTACATTCCTGTCAACAGCATTTAAGAGTTCTTCTTCATATCCTTGTTAACAGTTGTTGTCTTTCATAAAAATATTTTTATTTTTGATACATTACATTTGTATGTATCTATGGGGTACATGTGAAATTTTGTTACATGCATCGAATGTGCAATGATAAAGTCAGGGTATTTAGGGCATCAATCACCTGATTATTTATCATTTCTATGTGTTGGGAACATTTCAAGACCCCTCTTCTAGCTATTTAGAAAAATGCATCGTTGCTAACTACAGTTACCCTACTCTGCTATCAAACATTAAAACTTATTCGTTTTATCCAACTATGTTTGTACCCATAAACCAACTGCTCTTCATCACCCCTCCCTTCAAAACCATACACCTCTCCCAGCCTCTGGTATCTATCATTCTACTCTCCACCTCCAGGGGATCGTTTTTTTATTTCCCACATATGAATGAGAACATGGGATATTTGTTTGTCTGTGTCTGGCTTATTTCACTTAACACAATAATCTCTAGTTTCATCCATGTTGCTGCAAATGACAAAATTTCATTCTTTTTTATTATGGCCAAATGGTATTTCATCAGGTTATATATACGTCATATTTTCTTTATCCATTCGTGCATTGATAGACACTTAGATTGATTCCATATTTTTTATATTGTGACTAGTGCTGTAATAAACAAGGAAGTGCATGTATCTCTTTGATATATTAATCCCTCTTTGTTTGGATAAATACCCAGCAGTGGGATTGCTGGATCCTATAGAAGTTCTAGTTTTAATTTTTTGAGATATCTCCATACTGTTTTTGATAGTGACTGTACTAATTTAAATTCCCAGAGTTTTCTTTTCTCCTCATCCTTGCCAAAACTTGTTATGTTTTTTCTCTTTGAAAGTAGTCATTCTAACGATTAGTGATATTTAGTGTTTTCTCACATATCTGTTGGCCATTTGTATGTCTTCTTTTGAGAAATGTCTATATATGTCCTTTGACTTTTTTAAATTTATTTTTATTTTTTTGCTGTTGAGTTATTTTTATATTCTGGATGTCAGTTTCCTGTCAAGTGAGTAGTTTGCAAATGTTTTCTCCCATTCAAAACATTGTCTCTTTAATCTGTTGTGTCTTTAGCTGTGCAAAGTATTTTTAGTTTAGTCTCATTTGTCTATTTTGTTGTTGTTGTTGCCTGTGCTTTTGAGTTCTTAGCAATAAAATCCTTGCCTAGACTAATACCCTGAAAGGTCTTACCAGTAAAATCCTTGCTTAGACTAATACCCTGAAGAATTTCCACTATGTTTTCTTCTAGTAGTTTTATAGTTTTAGACTTATGTCTAAGTCTTTACATCATCTTGAGTTGATTTTGTATATGGTGAGAGATAGGGGTCCAGTTTCATTCTTCTGCACATGGCTATCAAGTTTTCTCAGAAGCATTAATGGAAGAGAGTTTTTTCCCCAATGTATATTCTTAATGACCTTGATGAAGATCAGTTAGCTTTAGTTTAGTGATTCTAACAGGTGAGGTGATATTTCATTTTGGCTTTAATTATCCCTTGGCCATTTGTTTGTCTTCTTCTAAGAAATACCTATTTAGGACCTTGCTTATTTTTAATCAATTATTTGTCTCTTTTTCTATTAAGTTGTATGAGTTCTTTATTATATTTTCATATTAACACCTTATTGGATACATGGTTTGAAAATGTTTTCTCCCTTTTCATAGGTTGCCTTTTCATTTTATTGTATGTTTCGTTTGACATACAAAAACATTTTAGTTTGATGTAGTCCCACTTGTTCATTTTTGCTTCTGTTGCCTTTGTTTTGATGTCATATCCAAAAGACATTTTTTGAGACTAATATCAAGAAGTTTTTCTATATTGTTTTCTTCTAGGAGTTTCACAGTTTCAGGTCTTACCTTTATGTCTTTAACCCACTTTGAGTTTATGTTTGTGTGTGGTTTAAGACAAGGGTCCAATTTTATTCTTTTGCACGTGAATATCCTGTTTTCCCAACCCCATATATTGAAGGGACTAGCTGTTCCACATTGTATATATTCTTGGAAACTTTTCAAAGAGTCATTGACCATACATGAGTGGGTTTATTTCTGGGCTTTCTATTCTGTTTCATTGGTCTGTTTTCATGCCAGTACCATACTGTTTTAATTACTATAGTTTTGTAATATAATTTGAAATCAGGAAATGTGACGACTATAGCTTGGTTGTTGCTCAAGATTGTTTTAGCTATTCAGGGTCTTTGGGGTTCCATTCAAATTTTAATTTTTTTCTATTTCTGTGAAAAATGTCACTGGAATTTTGATAGGAATTGCATTGAATATGTAGATCACTTTAGGTACTATGGATATTTTGCCAATATGTATTCTTCCAATCTATGAGCATGAGGTATCTTTCTATTTATTTGTGTCTTCTTCAGTCTTGTAATCTATATTGTAAAGTTTTCAGTGGACAGATTTTTACCATCTTGGTTAAATTTCTAAGCATTTTATAATTTTTTATGTTGTGAGTTTGTTTTCTTACCTTATTTTTCAGATAGTTCTTTGTACATGTATAGAAACACAACTAGTTTATGTATGTTGATTTTGCTAAATCAACTAAATTACCAAATTAACTTTACTAAATTTGTGGATCTAACAGTTTTTGGTGGAGTTTTTAGTGCTTTCTGTACATAAGTTAATGCCGTCTGCAAACACAGAATATTTTACTTATTGACTTCCAATGTGGTTGTCTTTTATTTCTTTTTTTCTCCCTTTTTGCCTAATTGCTTTGGCTATGATTTCTAGTATTTTACTGAGTAGAGGTAATGAGAGTGGACACCTTGTCTTGTTGATAATTTTAGAGAAAAAAATTTAGTTTTTCTTCACTGAGTATGTTGCTAGCTATAGTCATATATGTTCTTTATTATTTTGTAGTACATTTCCATGTATATCTAATTTGTTGAGAGTTTGTATAATGAAAGGATGATGAGTTTTATCAGATGCTTTTTATGCATCTATTAAGATGATCATATGACATAATCCTTCATTATATTAAGGTAGTGTATTACATTTATTAATTTGCACAGATCAAACCATCCCTGCATCCCAGGGGTAAATCACTTTTTACTTATCATAATGTACGATCCCTTTAATGTAGCTTTGAATTTGGCTTAGCAGTATTTTGTTGAGAATTTATGCATCCATGTTCCCAGGCTGGAGTGCAGTGGTGTGATCTCCACTCACTGCAACCTCTGCCTCCCAGGTTCAAGCGATTCTCCTGCCTCAGCTTCCTGAATAGCTGGAATTACAGGCAGGTGCTAACTTATTGTATTTTTAGTAGAGACGGGGTTTTGCCATGTTGGCCAGGCTGGTCTTGAACACCTGACCTCAAGTGATTCACCTGTCTTGTCCTCTCAAAGTGCTGGGATTACAGACGTGAGCCACCCCACACCTGGCCACTTTGTCTGGTTTTGATGTCTAGGTAATATTGGCCTTGTAAAAGGAGTTTGGATGTGTTTACTCCTTGACAACATTTCAGAAGAGTTGAGGACTGCTTTTAATTATTTAAATGTTTAGTAGAACTCACCAGTAAAGCAGTCAGGTCCTGAGTTTTTCTTTGTTGTGGGTTTTTGATTACTGATTCAATCTCTATATTTATTATTGCCCTCTTTGGACTTTTTTCTTCATGATTCACTGTTGGTAGTTTGCATATTTCTAATAATTTATCCATTTATTCTAGGTTATCCAATTATTGGGTTATAATTGTTCATAATAGTCCCTTATATTTGTGATTTCTGTGCTATTAGTTGCAATGTTTTTCTTTTTTTTCTGAGTTTATTTATTTGAGTCTTCTCTCTTTTACTCCTGGGACTTCCATAATTCATATATCAGGTCTCTCAATAATCTAATAAATTCCATAGGCTTTTATTTTCATCCTTGTCATTCTTTTATCTTTTTCTACATTGACTGGATAATTTTATTCATAGGGTTCCATGTATTCCATAGGCTTCCCAAATTCTACTTCTTTTATTTTTTTTGTCCTCTGGATTATTTCATGTGACCTGTCTTTGAATGTATACATTCTCTCTTCTGCTCTATCCAGTCTGCTGTTGAAACTCTCAATTGCATATTTTATTTCTTTCAATGTATTCTTCAGCTCCAGAGTTTCTGTTTGATTCTTTTTATACTTTCTATCTCTTTGTTGAATATCCTGTTTGTTCATATACTATTTTTCTGCTTTTTGTTGAGTTGTTTATCTGTATTCTTTCGTAACTCATTGAACTTCTTTAAAATTGTTTTGAATTCTGTGTAAGGCAATTTATAGGTCTCAAATTTTTGTGTTTGGTTATTAGAAATTTGTGCTCCTTTGGTGGTGTCATGGTTCCTTGATTTTTTTGTATTCCTTTCAGTCTTGCCTTGCTGTCCTTGCATTTGAAGAACAAGTAATCTTCTCTCCTCTTTACTGACTGGCTTCAGGACAGAGACACCTTCATATCTCAGCCTGGCTAGAGATTCTTAGGCTCTTTCTGACCTTTTCTATGGATTATCTTCTCCATACTTTTTGATCCCTTTTGAAAAATAATTTTTATGATTATATGCCTTCTCTCAATCCTGCAAAGCCAGGGTAGTTGCTTGATGTTTTCTGTCTGTTTTTCCCTGGAGTGGTGCCTTGCAATACATAACTTTGTGTCCTCCTTCGCATCTCACAATGTTAAGCCCACTGTCTAAGCATGCTCGGGAGCTATATGTAGAGACTCACAATTGCTCTCTGCTGCACTGTGTGGGGAGCCAGTCATGGGGTGACAGGGAGTGAGGTGTGTGATGCATTGGGTATGCCTGTGAGGCCTTGGCAGGTCCAAGGTAAGTTTTTTTGAAGTGGCTCATGTGTGGACTTAACTGATGTAGTACACTAAGTGGTTAGTAGGATCCAGCTTTGGTTGAGTTCTGAGCCTCTGTTGCTATGTCTTCTCTGTTCTCTGCTCCCAGCCCTTCCCAACCATGCTGATTACCTCAGCATTCTGGGTGGGGTGAGAAAAAGTGGGTTTTTCGGGCAGCATCTCGCATAGCTGGGAAAGCTGAGTGCTCACTCAGCTTTATCCTGTGCTCACACTTTATCCTGTGAAGGAAATCGTGTGTCAAGAGTGTTCGTTGACACCGAGCTGTGCCGCCTGTGGGAGGGGTGACAGGAATAAAGTATCCTCTTTAATCCATCTGTTCTCAGACTTTTTGCTCCATAGTGTGTTGAATTTTCCGGATTTGACTCCTGGACTTTCACATAGGGACTCTCATCTGCCAGTGGCTGTCAAAATTGATGCTTCTGTGCAGAGATAACAGCAAAATGCTCCTATTCTGTCATCTTGCTGATATCACCACCACTAGCAGTGGTTTTAAGCATCTTCATTTTATTGATTTAATATGATTTTAATTTTGTTTGCATTAATTTACTAAATTGCTTTAACTCTATATTTTCACAGAAATCCAAAGCCTGAGAAATTTGCAGTTTATGTTGTGTATATTCAAGTAACACTGAAATAAAGATAATTTAATATGTACGTTCCACAATAATTTAATATATTTTTTAAACACATTGCTCAGAATAGAGAAATATTTTACTCTGAGGGTTATAGACACCTGAATTTGGATCTCAGACCTAATAAATTTGTTGTTCATTCTTATTAATAAAAAACTATGTGGGAGAGGAAGTCACTATAAATTACTCATCAAGGAATGGCAAAATTAAGAAAACACACTAGGAAGAATTAACACATATGCTATGAATGTGGAAGAAACTTGGCAGGAAGTCAGCTACAAGCTAGCTAGACTGTCTCAGGTACAAGGGGCAAAATCTAGGATTCAGTATTTGAGAATGAAGAAGTAGTTAAGACACTGGAAGCTATGGTTAAATGTTTCTGACTGATTAAATTTGAAAGTGACATAGGATATAGGAGAACATGCCCCATGTCTTCTTTAAAATCATTGAAATTAAAAAATTTCATTATTTTATTAAGAATTAATACCATTTTGGCAGTCCTCTGCTTTGATATGACATCACTTGATTTCTCTTCAGCTTACCCACAACACACAACAAAGGAAGGCGCAGATAGTGAGAATGAGGGAAATCCTAATGAAAAATAAAGTAGATGACATACATGAACAAAATAGTTCACATTGCCACAGCAAAAATTTAATACTGGACCCAATGATAGACTATATTGATAGCAAGAGGATCTATTTTACTTTCCACTTCATTCTGTGTTGCTGTAGCACAATTTAATAGAAAGAAATACATTTAACTTTTTAACCATAAATGTCTATGTATTTGAAAATGTTTCTGAACTGCTCAATATAGTCACGTCTAGGTAGTTACAATACTTGTAAAATAAGTAATATAAGATATAAATTTTTAAATAGTTTAACATTAAAATAACCTATTTTATTTATTATAATAGTATTTTAATATTAAAATAACCAATCATAATAAACAAAAAATATTAGCCACACTAAAATTCACCGTAATAAATACTGAAGAATTTAGAAGTTTAAAAAAATCTCAGGACAGGCTGGGCACGGTGGTTCATGCCTGTAATCCCAGCACTTTGCAAGGCTGAGGTGGGCAGATCACCTAAGATCGGGAGTTTAAGACCAGCCTGACCAACATGGAGAAACCCCGTCTCTACCAAAAATACAAAAATGAGCCGGGCATGGTGGCACATGCCTGTAATCCCAGCTACTTGGGAGGTTGAGGCAGGAGAATCACTTGAACCCAGGAGGTGGAGGTTGTGGTGAGGCAAGATTGTGCCATTGCACTCCAGCCTGGGCAACAAAAGCAAAACTCAGTCAAAAAAAAAATCTCAGAACAAAAAGTTGTTATATGACTATAAAAGCTGTATTTTATGTTCAAATTCCAAAGATAGTATGAACTTTTTTATTCCTTCTAAAAATACCAAATATACTTGTTTTTATAAATGCTTGTAATAGAGTTATTTTGGAAGTCGGGATTGTTATATATTTTACCTTGGATATTTAAACCCTTTTCTGTGGCTTTCTCATTTAGTAATGATAAAAAGCATTCATTTCTTGTTTCTGTGTGCGAAGCTTTTAAAAATTTCCTGGTATGTTGTTGGCAAGGGACCATTAGAATACTAATAATGGTGGAATAGTAACTTTGATTTTGAAATTCTATTGCTTTAGATTTTGTTGCATTCCCTTAACATGCTGAATATTGAAGCATGTTCGTACAATAATTACAAACATTTCCTTGAAGTCATTTTATCTGTCCATATTTCAAATAGGGAATTGGTTTCTAAATATAGAGCACTAGTTCTTTTGATTATCCTCTGAGTGCTAAATTTTAAAGCAACTTTTATGAAAGCCAGTGGAAGTTTTTTCTGGTACCAATTCATGTTTATTTTGACTTGATAATGAATGCTTAAGATCTTGATATGAACTTGAAGCATAATACCTGAATGCATAGTATTTGATGAATTAACAGCAAGGATAAGAATGCATTATTATGTTGTATGGATTTACATTTAAAATAAATCAGTAAGTATTTAAAGCAGATAATTATTTTTATTAAAATGCAATAGTATTGTATTAGTCAATTTTCTGGGAATCATTCTGAATTGCTCTTTTTGCCATTGTGCCAAATTATTTGTGACATAGTAAAAGTAATTATAGGAAGTCATTCATTTTGCCATTTTACTATTAAAAATCACACCATATTAAAAATTTGGTGCCACAGTTCATCTCATCCAGCCAAATGAATATTTTCTCCCCACATACAAAAAACGTGATTTAAACTTCCAGGATAAAATAGATCCAGACAGCAGTGGATTCTCAAAATATTCTTCCACCTGGGCTGGGCGTGGTGGCAAGCACATGTAATCCCAGTGCTTTGGGAGGCTGAGACAAGAGGACTGTTTGATGCCAGGAGTTCCAGATCAGCCTGGGCAATGTAGTGAGCCCCCCTACCCCTCATCTCTACAACAACAACAAAATGCAGCATCTGTAGTCTTCGCTACTCCAGAGGTTTAGGTGGGAGGGTCGCTTGAGCCTGTGAGGTCCAGGCTGCAGTGAGCTATGATTGCGTCACTTGCTTTGCAGCCTGGGCAAGAGACTGGGACCCCATCTCAAAGAAAAGTGCTACCACTTGGGAAGGGATAGGAAAAAAAAGCTGAGAGTCACAACAAAGAAGGTAAAGGTTACCAGAGGTTACCAGTGCACTTATTTCTAGATTTTGGAAAGGATTTCCACCAAAAGAAGGGACAGCGAAGGAGGAAGCAAACACACAATTAGCTGCTGAGGGTCTAGTCCTGTACATAGGTGGGATTTAGGCCTCCCTGTTTCCAGCACTCCAACTTAAAGATTCATAAAACCAGGCAGCCACAGCTTCTCTGCATTTGGGATGCCCACAGTCCTGAGTCCAGTGTTACCCATCATGGTTCAGCGTCCCACATCTATGAGGAACTCATGCTCAGGGACAGAGCACAGGACAGGTAGAGGAAAATAAGCCTGCCCCTTCCATTCTGGGACCCATAGCAGGGGCTCCTGGAGCTCCCCGAATATTTTAGACCACATGAGCCTCTGGAGTGAACAGCTAAATCAGGAACAGCCTGGTTCCATAGAAAGTGAGTCAGCAGCAGAGACATTGTTGTTAATCTTAATGGGGGAGCTGAGTGCTGGAGGGTTTGGGGTAACGTGGGAAGGAAGGAGGATCAGGTTAGAGACCCATGATGCTGCCCTTCATGGAAGAACGAGGTTGTATTTGTGTGTGTGTGTCTTCATGAAGCATTTTCCCACTAACTGTAGTCTCCTATCCGCATCAACAGTGAGTCCAGGCAGCAGGCAGGAATTGGGTTCTGGTACAGTTTAGATTTTACCCTCTAAATCTCATGTTGAAATGTGATCCCCAGTGTTGAAGGTGGGGCCTAGTGTGAGGTGTTTGGCTCATGGCGGTGGGTCTCTCATAAATGGATTGGTGCTGTCCCTGCAGTGGTGACTGAGCTCTTACTCTATTTCTTCCTGAGAGAGTTACTTGGAGAGCTGGTTGTTAAAAAGGGCCTGGCATCTTCACTCTCTCTCTTGCTTCCTCTCTCACCATGTGATTTCTACACATGTGCGTTCCCCTTCACCTTCCGTGGTGCCTGGAAGCAGCCTGAGTGCCTCATCTGAAGCAGATGCTGGCGCCATGCAGTACAGCCTGCCAAACCGTGAGCCGAATACATGTGTTTTCTTTATAAATGACCCAGCCTCAGGTATTCCTTTTTAACAACACAAGTGCTGAAGCAGGTGCTTATAGGAATATATTTTTCCATTAATCAGTAACCAGGTAACCAGGAGCCCTAAGGAGAACAGAGGCTGGAACAAGAAACGGTGGGCTAAGGTCAAAAAAAAGGTGTCTGAGATTTGAACTAAAATGAGAGAGCACTGGTATTGAAAATACAAAAATTAGCCGTTTGCTTAGGATCTTGACGATGTGTAGACAGACGTTTAAAAAGTCAGAAAAAAAGCTAAATAGTATGTGCGTGTGAAAAAAATGCATATAAATTGTGGGCAGCTTCAGTATGCTAAATCAGTATTAGTTATAAATGCTTTCTATTTCCTTATGTAAATTTTTTGTATCTTTTGTGTTCTCTTCAAAGAACAATTATTTTAAAAATTAAACGGTTTATTTAAAATATGGAGGATTAAATGGTGCTTAAGGTGTTTAAAAATGCAATCCATATTTAATCTAGAGAAAACATTTGGTGTCTTCTTCTTCTAATATAATCTTTCACAGCTGCATGTTCGTCATGCTGTGTGATTGACTTTGTCTTTACTAAAAATCTATTTTTCCTTTTTATTCATCTGCTCTACATAGTGATGCCGTTGTAGAAAAAAACAGGTCCTTGCCACACAACCAGGATAATTTAGGCACCTGGACACACCGTAGGGTGAATAGGGCAGGGTTTATTGGGTGAAAAGGAAAAAAAAAGGAAACAGGGACTCTTAGCAAAGCGAGAGAGAGTCCTGCCTAACAGATTGAATCCTAGGTTCCCACACAGGAACAGGAGAGACCACACTCTTCCCCGCTGCAAACAGCATGAACTTTCTGAGGCTCCACCTCGTCATCCCGGTATGCTGGCGGGTTGGAGATTCTCCAGGGACCCCTTTTTACTTGGCTGTCTTGATACCTAATGTTGGAAAGCCTCCCCTAGTTCACAAGGCAGTATGTATAACTTCTTATTTAGTCTTTACAACTGTCCTGAGACATAGGTAAAGTGGGACTGACTCTCAATGCTTTAGACATGAGGAAGCCAATCGAGAGATAGAGGAGGAGATTGCCTGGTAACTTAAAAACTTCACTTAAAAAAAAAGCTGACTCAGAGAGCTTCATGAGTGAACTCTACCATGCATTTAAAGAAAACCAGTCCTTAACAATCTTTTCAAAAAAAAAAAAAAGAATAATACTGTACACTTCCCAACTCATTCTATGAAGTCCTCATTACCCCAATAACAAAACCAAAGGCATCACAAAGGAAAAAAAGGAAAATGAAATAAAAATAAGAAACAAAGCTACACCCCAATATCTTTTATTAATACAGACGCAAAAATATTCAATAGACTACTACTAGCAAATAAATTCCAGCAACATATAAAAATTATTATATAACATAATGGAGTGGGATTTATCCTAGGAATGCAAAATTGGTTTAATATCCAAAAGTCAACTAATGTAGTATACTATATTAACAGAATGTAGGGTATATTAAATGTGTCTTTTTACTTTTCTGTTTGTTTGTTTCTTCTTTTTGATGCTTTCACATGTGGGCCTTATAGACACTGGAGGAACTGGTCCTTCCAGGGCTAGCCACTCCCTAGAGATAGCAAACCACCCACCTCCAAGAACACATTTTCTGTGGAAAAAACCCACCCAGCCCCCACACATCCACCCACCTTTTCTCTTGGTCTATCACTATTCCCCAGGGGCAGGTGTCCAACAACTAGATTACTAAGACAGTTCCTAAGCCTCAGAGCCTGGTAAAATGATTCAAACCATCCAATTCCAAGTCTGCTTAACCTTCCTTGCCTGATTTTTGTGGGAACCAGAACAAAAGTTCCCACCCACTTTTCTCCTCCATCCCTCTGTCTTCCTACAGACCCCACTGCTTCCCCGTGTGTCCTGCATGGCTGGCCATCCATCCTGCTTCTAGGGAACTCTGAGTAAACTAAACTTCTTGCTTCATGAAAGTCATTTTCTTGTTTGTGTATCCTACTTGTGAAAGGAAAATATCTTGGGCCCCTTTAAGCTGGGAACTGCTCAGGGCAAACCTGCCTCCCATTCTATTCAAAGTCACCCCTCTGTTCACTGAGGTAGATGCATATCTGATTGCCTCCTTTGGAAAGGCTAATAAGAAACTCAAAAGAATGCAACTGTTTGTGTCTCACCTATCTGTGACCTGGAAGCTCCCTCCCGGCTTCCAGTCTTCCTGCCTTTGCTTCAAGTTGTCAAGCCTTTCCTGACCCAACCAATGTACTTCTTACATATATTGATTGATATCTCATGTCTCCCTAAAATGTATAAAACTAAGCTGTGCACAACTACCTTGAGCACGTGTCAGGACTTTCTGAGGCTGTGTCATGGGAATGCGTCCTCAACAATGGCAAAATAAACTTTCTAAATTAACTGAGACCTGTCTCAAATTTTCAGGATTCACACACTATATATGATTTTTAAAATTGTAGGTATCCATAAGACATAGGAGGGAAAAACCACGTGATTATCTGAGTAGACACAGAAAAAGCATTTGACAAAATCCAAGGTCATGATAAAAATACTCAACAAACTACAAATAAAGGGAATTCTTTCACTATTATAAAGAAAAAACACCCACGGCTAACACCAGGCTTAATGTTGAAAGACTGAATGTTCATCCCCTCAGAGCAGAAACACAAGGATGTCCATTCCTACCACTTGATTCAAAATTGAATAGGGGATTCCAGACAGGACAATTTATCAAGAAGAAGTAAGAGACATTCAGATTAAAAACAAGGAGGTAAAATTATCTCTATTTGCAGAAGTCATGATCGTATCCAAAGAAAGTGTTAAGAAATTTGCTAAAAAAATTTTTAAATATGAGTTCAGCAGGCTGCACCATCAGTGTACAAAAGTCATTTTTCTCTGTACCCTAGTCTATTAGTTTCCTACTATTGCTATAACAAATTATTACAAGTTTGATGGCTTAAAAATAACTTAAATTTATCATCTTTTAGTTCTGTAGTCAGAAGTATGGCATGAATTTCACCGGGCTAAAATCACAGTGGCATCAGGGCTGTCAGCCTTCCTGGAGACGCTGTAGGATAATTTGTTTCCTGGCTTCTTTCAATGGTTATGGGCTGCCTATATGCCTTGCCTCATGGTTTTTTCCTTGCATCACTCCAACCTCTGCTTCCATTGTCCATCTCCTTCTCTCACTCTAGGAGTTGGCCGGAAAATGGGAGTAATTAGTCCTGGGTATGAGGTTTCTTTTTAGAGTGATACATGTATTCTCAAATTGATTATGATGATGATTGTGTAACTCTGTGGATACACTAAAATCTATTGAATTGTACACTTTAAATGGATGAATAGTATGATACATGAAATTATATCTCAAAAAAGCTGCTAAAAACAAAGAAAAAATAAGGACATAAGCATGAACAGTATCTTCAGATAAAGAAATACAAATGAATATCAATTTCCACAAATTGATAATTTTCACAAAATTCATTTTTATTATTCACAATTGTATTATTCTTTTATAAATATTTTAAATTCACAGTAAAAATTAAAGGAATGATGAAAGAAGACAGATAAAAATGTAGAAATCATTGAGAAAAAAATACCACCAAGAAATAGCTATAGTTCATATATTAGGATATAACTAGGATTTTCCATTAAGATTTTTTTGTAATGAAGACAAGTTGAGGAAATCTTATATAAGTTGTACAGAGACAATTGTTCAAAATTCAGTATAAATATGTTTACTTTGGTTATTTTAAGCATAATTTAACACCTAAATGAACAATTATTGGAATAATCTCATGTGTTAGTATGCTTAAACAAAATGTGCAGAATATGACAAAAAAGATCCACGATATTGCAAGCACTTATGAAGAAGAACGAGATAAGCCTCATGAATTGATGAAATATTTTAATTGTGGTTTTAAAATTTGGCATTTAAACCTGCTAAGGTCTAGGGCAGCTCTCAGCAATTGGTGAGAGCATAAATGTTATGGTTTTTAAATGAGTTATGAGCAACAGGATAAATGAGTGTAGCTTTCCAAATGCCTGGGTATAAAGTTTCTCATGGAGACACCGAAGGAAATTAAGAGGGTAGTAAATTTAGAGCATAGTAAGATAAATATTATTTTATGCAACAGATAGTCACCTTGTAAAATTCATAGCCACAGTAAGATAGCTAAATACATATTTAGTCTTGGTAATTTTATGAGTAATAATAAAGGTTTATGTTAACTAAGACATTGATAAAAGTGCTGGCAAACAGATTGTAATAAGTGAGCTGTGATAAAAATATAAACAGAACCTAATATGTTCATGAAAAGACATTTGGTCCTGAAACATACCAAAGGGAGAGATTTGAGATTGAGATGTGCTTTCGGCTATACTGAGTGATAAGGTTATTAACCTATGAGTGTTCATTTACCTGTGTCCTATCCTAGATATTCCAGGCTAGAAATGTTTATTTTCTTGGTGCCATTCCTTAATATATATGGGCGACTTTCTCACCTGGAAATTATGTGGAAAGGACTTGGCTTAACTGATTAACTGTTACATGGCAGAACAAGAGGTTCTTTATTGTTAAGAGAAGATTATTTATCCAAATGATGTTTTGGGAAAAATATTTAAAGGAGGGAGTAGTATAAGAACATTATAAAGACATGTATTTTCTACTTAATGGTTTTGCTGAAAACTTGACTTGGAAGGTTTGGATTAACAGAATATAGTATCAGACAATATATTTTTAATTTACTCTTTCCAAATGTTCCATTAGAATATTCATGAAAATATAATAATCATTATCATTACTGTAAAGGTAGTCTCCAAAATAGTACCAAAATGTATAGAGAATATTTTAGGCCAGAGCCCATCTGTAATATTTACTAATTTTAACACTGATGGTAACAGAATACTAAAATTAGTAGACTAATAACTATATGTTTTTCCATCTGAAACAGAATATCAGTGCCCCCAAAATCATAAGAGCTAACATTTATTTACTGCTTACTATGCACCAGCAGTGTTATAATTATTTTTACAAGTATTAATACATAGAATTCAATAAGGTGCATAGCAGTATATCACCATTGCAAATTAGGAACCAGGATATCAGCAAAACGGTAAAAGAGAAAGCTTTGCTACTCATTGCATAAATTTCAACTAGCAATGACATACAGATAAGAACATCTTGGTGAAATTGGGAATAAGCCTGAGTCACCTCCATGGTCAACAGAGTTGTATATATATAAAAAAATGCATGGAAAGGGTAAGAGAAATAATCCCACTTTCATCACATTATACCTCTCTCTCCCCCAAGAAGGCACAGCACCACAGAGAGAATTTCCTAGGATCATGATTACTATGGAGGAAAAAGAGAACTGGAAGTGGAAATCCAGACTCTATCATTCTGAGATGCTTCCCAGGAAGCCCACTTGAGTCTCATCTGAAGAGAAACACAGTGAGGAACGGCACAGATAGGCCACCTGGGGTCGAGTAGAAACAAACTGAGAAGGTAGAGCCTGCAGCAACAACCACTATGAAGATCTTGGTGGTAAGTCTTTGTAGTTGGCAGCAGTGATTCCTGATCAGAGGTACCAGCTAACAGCATGGCCCACGTGCAAAGCTGAGCTGGTCACTCTCAGAAGTAGAGGGATGTACTACGTGGCTTAAAATCTTAGATAGCTAGTCTCCAGGATCAGCTCTGACCCTGTCCTGGGGCCCTAGCCAGGGAGGGAGATGGCCAGTGCAGCAATTTTTGGCAAAGATTAGGAGCTAGATCTGCCACACCTGGAAGTTTAAACAACCCTCAGATAAGCCTCAAAGCCCACTCCATGGTCCAGCCCAGACAGAGAGGCAAAACTCAAACATGCATTTCTAATGTGCATAGAAACTGGTCCCATCCATTCTGATCAGCAACTCCACCTAACCTCAGGGCCCCTCTTGCAATCCTGTCCAGCTGCTGAACCCAAAGAATAGTGCCACCTGGCCAGGGAATACACCCTATGGCCAGCTTAATCAGAGGTGATTGTAGGGCCCATCCAGCAACTCAGCCTGATTGCAGAGCTCAGCCAGTAGTTTTGCTGAATAGCAGATCTCAGCCATGTCTCCCACCCAAACCCAAAGCAAAGACAGCAGTCCAGGCATCTACAGAAACTAAAAGCAACCTCTTCCTGCCCAGGGCCTACCAGCTGGCTTATCCAGAATCAGAGGCTAGACTAAATAGTGAAGGACTATCCCTGCCAAAGAACACTTGTAAAAGCTGCAAAAGGAGCCTCCTCAAATGTGTAGATGTCAAAGCAACAACACAGGCATTACAAAGACTCAGAAAATCATGACACCTCTAAGAGAAACTAACAAAGATCCAAGAATGAACTCTAAAGAAAGGGAGATCTATGAAACAACAGAAACATAATTTGAATAATACTTATAAATAAGTTCAGTGAACTACAAGAAAGTATGGGTTAATAAATTAAATAAAATTTGGAAAACAATGCATTTATAAAATGAGTTTGACAAAAAATAGAAACAATAAATAGAAATCCTAAAGATGAAGAATACAATGACTGAACTGAGAAATGTAATAATAGAAAGCTTCAACAGTAGCCTTGATGAAGCTGAAGAAAAAATTAGTACATGTAAAATTATTCTGGCAGAGGAGCAAAAAGAAAAAAGAATGAAAAAGGCTATGAGAATAATGGGAAACCATCAAGAGACCTAACTAACCCATAATGGATCTTTAAGAAGCAGAAGAAAGAGAAAATGGGCCAGAAAACATATTTAAAGAAACAATGGCTCACAACTTTTCTAATCTGGAGAAAGCACAGAGGTTTCCAATCAAATTCGATGCAAAGAGAAGGTTATCAAGACATATAATAAACTATCAAAGACAAAGAAAAAATTCTGAAAGCAGTAAAAGATAATACACAACATAAAAAGAGGGTCCCAATATGACTATCTGCAGATTTCTCAATGGAAATCCTGCAGGGCAGGAGAGAGTGGGATCATATATTTAATGTGGTGTGGTGAAGGAACAAAACCTGCCAACCAGTAATATTTTATCCAGCAAAGCTGTCTTTTTGAAATGAAAGAGAAATAAAAACTTTCCCAGACAAATAAAAGCTAAGGGAGTTCATTATCATTAGGTCTGCCTTAAAGGAATTGCTATTATATATATGCACCCAATATCTAAGTACCTAAATATATAAAGAAAATATTAAAAGATCTGAAGAGGGTGGTAAACTGCAATAAAATAATAGTAGTGCAATATCCCTTTTTCAGTAGTGGACCGATCATATAGGTAGAATATCAATAGAGAAATGCTGGACTTGAACACTTTAGATCAATGGACGTAACAGACATATGTAGAACTTTCTATCCAATAGCAACAACATACACATGCTTCTGAAGTGCACATGGAACATTCTCTAGGATAGATCATGTCAGGTCACAAGTAAAGTCTTAGTGCATTTAAGAAGATTGACATCATATTAAGTACAAAGGAGGAAACAGAGGGACAAAGAAGAAAAGGAACCTGCCCACGGCCTTCACACATAATAACTGGAGGAACTTTAGTTCAAACCCTGGAAGCCACAGCCTGTGTTTTCAACCACTCCTCTCTACTGCCTTTTTTCTTTTTTTTGTATTTTTTTTAAATTATACTTTAAATTTTAGGGTACATGTGCGCAACCTGCGGGTTAGTTACATACGTATACATGTGCCATGTTGGTGTGCTGAACCCAGTAACTCGTCATTTAACATTAGGTATATCTCCAAATGCTATCCCTCCCCCCTCCCCCCACCCCACAACAAGCCCCAGTGTGTGATGTTCCCCTTCCTGGGTCCATGTGTTCTCACGGTTCAATTCCCACCAATGAGTGAGAACATGCGGTGTTTGGTTTTTTGTCCTTGCGATAGTTTGCTGAGAGTGATGGTTTCTAGCTTCATCCACGTCCCTACAAAGGACATGAACTCATTAATTTTTATGGCTGCATAGCATTCCATGGTGTATATGTGCCACATTTTCTTAATCCAGTCTATCATTGTTGGACATTTGACTTGGTTCCAAGTCTTTGCTATTGTGAATAGTGCCGCAATGAACATACATGTGCATGTGTCTTTATAGCAGCATGATTTATAATCCTTCGAGTATATAGCCAGTAATGGGATTGCTGGGTCAAATGGTATTTCTAGTTCTAGATCCCTGAGGAATCACCACACTGACTTGCACAATGGTTGAACTAGTTTACAGTCCCAAATCATGAGTGAACTCCCATTCACAATTGCTTCAAAGAGAATAAAATACGTAGGAATCCAACTTACAAGGGATGTGAAGGACATCTTCAAGGAGAACTACCAACCACTGCTCAATGAAATAAAAGAGGATACAAACAAATGGAAGAACATTCCATGCTCATGGGTAGGAAGAATTAATATCGTGAAAATGGCCATACTGCCCAAGGTAATTTATAGATTCAATGCCATCCCCATCAAGCTACCAATGACTTTCTTCAGAGAATTGGAAAAAACTACTTTAAAGTTCATATGGAACCAAAAAAGAGCCCACATTGCCACGTCAATCCTAAGCCAAAAGAACAAAGCTGGAGGCATCATGCTACCTGACTTCAAACTATACTACAAGGCTACAGTAACCAAAACAGCATGGTACTGGTACCAAAACAGAGATATAGACCAATGGAACAGAACAGAGCTCTCAGAAATAATGCCACATATCTACAACCATCTGATCTTTGACAAACCTGAGAAAAACAAGCAATGGGGAAATGATTCCCTATTTGATAAATGGTGCTTGGAAAACTGGCTAGCCATATGTAGAAAGCTGAAACTGGATCCCTTCCTTACACCTTATACAAAAATTAATTCAAGATGGATTAAAGACTTAAGTGTTAGACCTAAAACCATAAAAACCCTAGAAGAAAACCTAGGCAATACCATTCAGGACATAGGCATGGGCAAGGACTTCATGTCTACTGCCTTTTTGAAGGCATTCACCCCACCCCGCCACACTTTAGCTCCTTGTTCTCCACATTTTCTCAGAAATTCAGCTTCTGTGCATCTAACCTGACAAGAAGTTGGGGCGGGGCAGCTCGTCAGGCAGGGAGCAAGCAGATGCACGGCACATGGGAGCCCTTTTAATCTACAGATTCAGACCTATCTGTTTCAGACATAAAAATGTTTTAAATTTAACTATTGTTTCTAATTGATTTATTCATGTTTCTTTTTTGTGAAGTGCTACTACTGCATAGATTTCATATTTTCTATTGCCTTTATCATCTTTGCATTAAAAAAATTATTATCATTGTGAACCTTGATTCACATGTCTTCTGTCACAAGGCTGATTAGAGATACTCTATGCTGTAAGCTACTTCTAATTTGGATTTGACTTTCTAAAATTATGTTTTTAGTTTACTACTATTTCTCCTTAATTCAGCTCCTCATGTTTCTTTCCGGCTTGCACTTCGGTTTGTTGTCTTGCAGTACAATACCCAACTTGTTTCTGACAGACCTCTTCATCCTCCTTATGCCACTGAGTAGCTGCTTTCCTGTATGGTTATCTGGGATATCTCCTTCAGCTGAGTACACATCTCTGATTCTCCTGGGCAGGGTTTGGTTTCTCCTGTGCTTCTCATGGTATTGTGCTATTAAATTTCAGTTTTCAGCCATCTGTGGATATAAGAACTAAGTGGCCCAGAGACACAAAGAAATACTGTGAGGAATTCTTTGGTGCTGCTCACTGCCCATCTAGATGCAGAAAAAGTCCTGCTTTCACATCAAAATCTCTCAGTTCTCATGGGACTGTATCATTCTCAGCCCAACTTTGTGTTCCTGGAGCAGAGTCCCTGGTGGAGCAAGCAAGATGGTCTCAAGACAATTTCTAACTTCTTTAGCCATGAACAAGCTGAGATGAGAGCAACCCTTCTTCACATATTTCCATGGGACAATATTCCTAAAATCTACAGGGATAAGCAGTTGATGCTTCCCACCCACATCTCCTTAGCAGTTGCGGTTCCTGTTCATGCCAGTCGTACTATGCCACCTATGACCATGAGTACTTTTTTCTTTCTGAGGCAAGCCAACATCCTAGAGAGGTAATCTCCCAGGTCGCATCCCCACCCAATGACCAATGGCAGTTGGTAGAAGAATTACTTCACTTACTATTTCCCAGTTAGATAATACTGAGGCATGTTCAACTCTGTCTGCCAGAGTTCTCCAGAAGACCAAGCTTCAGTTACACACAGCAGGAAAGGAAAGTGCTCACCAATGCCCACTTCACTGGCCTCTTTCCCTCCCCAGTTCTACTTTCCCACCCCCAGTCCCCCAACTACTGCTTCCTTATATCACCTCCTAGATCAGTTAACTCTTACTATGCAACACATGACCCCAATACTTAATGGCCTTAAGCAATTTCTCATATCTGTGGGTTTGCTGGGCTCTGCTGGGCAGTGTTTCTGGACATGTGGTGTCAACTAGGCTCAATCACACAACTGTCTCCATCGGAGTGCTCAAACTGTCTCCATCGGAGTGCTCAGCTAGGGCTGGAATACTGGGTAGCTGGAATGGCCGGGCCTTTTCCTTGAGATCTCTTAGCATACTGTGGTCTAACCCAAGCTTCTTTACCTGTCAGCTTGAGTCCAAATGGATGCAAAGAGAAGGTAAGTGACCCAAGAGTACAAAGAAGAAAGAAATTCTGTCGTTTGAAACAACATGGATGAAACTGCAGGCCATTATGTTCAGTGAATTAAGCCAGGCACAGAAAGACAAATACTGTAATTCACATATAGTCTCACTTACATGTGAAATCTTACAAAGTTTAAACTCGTATATATGTGGAGAGGAGAAGGATGGTTAGCAGGGGTGTGACGGGAGGTTGGGGAGGGTTCACCAAAGGATACACAATTTCATTTAGACAGGAGAAATACTTTCAAAAGATCCATTATACATCATGGTGACTGTAGTTACTAACATTTTATTTTCGAAAAATGCTGAGAGTAGATTTTAAGTGTTCTCACCAGAAAAAAATGATAACTATGTGAGGTAATGTATATGTTAATTATATTGCTTTAATGTATACATATTTAAAAACATTATGTTGTACATGACAAATATATGCAATTTTTATATGTCAACCAACCAAACAAAAAAAAAAACCCAAAATGTTTTAAAAAAATGCTGTGAGAAATCCTTCTGGACCTGCTCTTAAAGCTTGGGCCAGAAACTTTTAGAACACCACCTCTGCCATTTGTTATTGGTCAAAACAGGTCACAGAGCCAGCCCAGATTCAAAGAGAGCTGAAACAGGCTCCATCTTTTGGTGATAAGAGTGGCGTGTCTGCACAGGGATTCAAAGAATTGTTGGTGGCCATGTGGCTGGCAATCTACCATGCCTCCCAAGTAAGCTATTGGATGGATCTGAATGCCTGTGTCAAGGCTCTGCTTGTGAGGGAGACCAGCTGAAGGAGGCCTCTTAAACAGGTGGTGCTGGGCCCAAAGTGCTCAGCACTGGAGACTCACATGCTTATTTCATCCATGATAGTCACTCCCAGGCTTATCCCATGTCGTCCTGGTTTATCTGCTGTAGCACAGCACCAAGACTTCTCTACTTCGCCCTAGACCATACTCACCTCTTCACAAGCAGCTGGCATGACAAAGATTCCTGCCTCCTCTCACCTTAGAATCAGGAGTCTAGGCAGCACCAAATGATGCCATGAGAGTTTTCCTGAGCCAGCTGCTGGAGAGAGCCATGAGACGTGTAGGGTGGATAACACAGTCCTGAGGAATGGGTTATCACAGGAGTGGGGGACAGCACCCCTGGGACATATTAGAGGTCACTAAATCTGAGAATGGATGGGTCATTGGTGACAATCTGGCTCCAAGGTCTCTCTGTGGAGCCCTTATAACCCTGAGGGAATAGACCTTAGAAATCCCAAAGCAGTATATTTACTGAGAAGGGGGACACAGAATTGCCTTCCTGTTCTTATCTGTTAATTCCTTCTCATGTTTTGGAAACCCCCTTTTTTGACTTTCCTACTAAGAAAAAGGAAGAAGGCACAAAAGACTCCCAACCTCTAGGATGCCAGGCAAGGAAGGGGTTGAAGCAGCAGCCTTTTTTGATACCATCTGGGCTTTGGGGAGATCTGGAGAGGGCACTGGCCTCCCTCACAGTCCTGTGCTGTCACATCAAGGCTTGAGTTGTTTGTTTATAAAATTTCTCCTAGGAAAGAGTGTAGACAGTCAGTGGTGGTTAGTGCAGAGTTAATAAAGGGCAGCCTACTAAAAATGAATAATCTAACTGGAAATAATGACGGGGCAGGCATAGCTGCTCCAGTAAGGCAATTATAGTGAGATTGCAAAGAGGCAGCTTTGTGTGTGAGTGTGGAAGTCTAAACATTCCAAGCATCTGGAAAAATGGGACAGGGAAAAAAGGAGGAGGTAAAGCAAGACAAGAGAAGAGCCTGTTCAAATTCTCAGATTTAAGAGTGCACCTCTGCTTCTTAAATGGAGGATTTGCTCAGAAGGAAAGAAATGGAATAAACACAGAAAGCCCAGATGGGAAAGCAGGCTTAGCAGAGCCTGGGGATATGGCAGTACACTGTCTAGTAGTGCCTCGAGCTCCGTCAGCCTGGCTTGTTACAAGAATGAATCACTAGCCATGCTCACTAGGTCAAGTTCCTCAGAGGTGGGTGAAAAGACAGAATCAAGAGAGATGTAAGGATGGGCAAAAGAGGATCAGCAAAAGAATGATGAGTCTCATCTAGAGATTAGCCAGTACTTCTTTTCTTGTAGCAGGCAAGCAGGCATCTTCCCCATTCTCTTAAAATGTATGCATTCCTGCTAAGCCATAAAATGCATGAAAGGAAGCCATCAGGTCAGACTACTCTCCATTCCTTGAGATTCTGTCCTCCTTGATTTCAGTTCTGGGGTCCAGCCCACTCTCTGACCTGACAGAACTCTCGTGCCCTTGGTTCCAAGGGTGAGATGGGAGAACGTAATCTCCTGTGGCATAGCTGATTGTGTCCCTCAAAGTTCAGTTGCCTTGTATTTGCATGAATTCTTGGGACGTTTCCATGGTGGAAAATCCTGTTCCATTAGCAGAATCCTGGCCTTCAAAGTTGTGAAGTGCCTTTTAGATAGGGTGAAAATGAATGCTTCAGTCAGTACTCTACCCTCTGCTACTATTGTGACCCTAAATGATAGAGCACTGACCTAGGTTACTGTGGAGATTGATGTGGGTACCTGGGGCTCAGATTTCTCTGCATGGACCATAGGATCCTGAGGGCAAGGGAAAGGAGGAGATGTGGCTTCCCAGCAGGGCTGAACTTACCTTGGCCCCACCTCCACCCATCATCTGGAGCTTCCTCCCCTCTGGGTGGAACCTATCTTTTCACCATTGCTCAGGCAGAAGCTGGCCTAGGTCTAGCCTGCTCAACAACTGGAAAAGTGCTGTTTGCATTAGGACACAAATTCAGTTAGAGCCCACTTGGTTTATGCAGAAAACAAAGGTGGGTTGAGGCAACTAGCCCTCCCTCCTTTACTTTAGATAAAGAGAGGTCAACAAATTTGTGGCTCCAGTAGAAAGAATCATGTTTGACAACGATATGGATTGATGGTAAAAAGTGGTATTTGGTCAATTACATCAAAAGACTCATCTGGGGTTGCATAGAAATGAGCTTGATGAGACAGACCCTGTTCCTATAACTTCCTGTGCTACTAGAGGACACCTAAAGTCATACAGCTTTGCATCTGACCCTGGAATGACTAGTGTATCTCTGCAGGTGACTATCCGGTGTGCCCCTCCAAAAGAGAAGGCACAGGGGCGAAGTGTCCCTCTGACGAGGTACAAATCCATAGTGAGTCCTGACGGGCTGTGGCCAAGCACATCTCTCCACAGAACACAAAGAGAACCGGGACTGCACATTTGAAGACATCTGCTCTCTGTCCCATTATTTCAGCCTATAACAAATTAGTCCCACTTTTTTTTTTTTAAACTGAATCTTGCTCTTTTGCCCAGGCTGGAGTGCAGTGGTGTGATCTCAGTTCATTGCAACCTCCATCACCCAGGTTCAAGCTATTCTTGGGCTTCAGCCTCCCGAGTAGCTGGGATTAAGGGTGTGCACCACCACACCTGGCTAATTTTTGTATTTTTAGTAGATATGGGGTTTCATCATTTTGGCCAGCCTGTTCTTGAACTCCTGACCTCAAGTGATCCACCCGCCTTGGCCTCCCAAAGTTCTGGGATTAGAGGCGTGAGCCATCAAGCCTGGACAGTTCCACTTTCATCTCAGGTGTAGAATACAGCTCTGCCCAACCTTACGATAAAATCTTCCCTTGTTCACTACCTGTTTCATCAATAAGAAATAAAGCTAATATACTCAAACTATGAGGGATTCTCTAATTTTTCAACAAAATTCAGTGCATGAAAATCTACATATAATGTGTATGCACTCCTCCCAGTCTTCTAGACTATATATCTCGGGGTGGACTAAATAACCACTAATCTCTTTCTTTCTGGTGTCCTGTGGCCTGGACAGGACATTTCCAGCAAAATGCGAGAGAGGCAGTACTCCTAAATTTTCAGGTGGCTGCCTGTTCTTTGAGTGGCTTAGAACTGAGGTTTCCAAGCTGTGATAAAATACATGACATAGTCCTATGTTTTCCTGCTTTATTCCCACAATGTTGCTATTATATTTCAGAGTATGAGAAATATAGGCCACTGGTTATTATTTTGGTTTTTAAAATCTTGTCTGTATTGCAGTTAGGAAAAAAAGATCCTCCCCAACTCTGGAAAATCCTGACTTCTTATCCTCATTTTCCATAGCAGTTGTGGTTGTGTGCTCCTTGAGACTGCTGTGTGGGGGTGGTGGAGGCCCAGTACCAATAGGGTCTTCACTGACATGGAGTTGGGGTCTGGGGTCAACAAGGATGGACTGGGGGCCTCTTTTGGGGAAGTTCAGGCTCCTGAATCAGTCTTTAGTGATGTTACCCCATAAAGTCAAGTTAGTGAAAATGAAGGTGTAATGTTTTTGTGACCAGGTTGGTGAACCAGCTAGGTTCTCTTGACATGGCCCCTTGGGTTGAGAAGCCCTCTCTCACTGCATGATGTGGGGACATGGGAAGATTGGGGGTCAGATCAGGAAAAGCCCAGCCAGAAACACCAATCCCCTTAGCAATGCCCTACCAGGAGGTCTTGGATTTGAAATACCAGTTCTTTTTCTGGGAAATAACAAGAACTGTAACTTTGGCAGACACACCCCAGGATGTGATTCCAGGAAGAAACACACCCTAAAGAGAAAATTTTGCTGCATGCCTGTTATTGTAGGGTATAAAGAAGGATTCGGTGTTGGTGGTCCTTGTCATTCTTATCTTTTCATCCTCTACACTAATCTCTCTTCCCCTTTTCCTTCTTAACCCTCAGCTTCCAGGGACTGGGTTCCTGGTTCGATTCCCAGGCTTGTGATTGCGAACACCTCTTCCTGCCTCTTCCCCTCTCCTGCTCTTGTCTTTCCCCTGCTGGTTTCTCTTTCCCTTTCTCTTTTTCTCTGCAGCTCTCTTGTCCTGTCCCATACCCTTTCTATTTTTAATGTTTCCTCAGGGCACATTTCAAAGGTTGCCCTCTTTATGTGAACATAAATATCAGAGACTTTTATAATTACAGTATAGGAACAGCAGTGTCTATTGATCATTATATCATTCCTCTTCTCTCTTGGGTAAACTTGAGCAAGGAGAAAATCCTGGAAGGAAATTGGCTTTTCCTTTTCTAATGTAGATAAGAAGTGAAAAAGAAGGCACAGAATTCAAAGATTCGGGAAACGGTTCTAATATACTTATTTAGTCACTTCAAAAATAAAACTTAAAGTGCTATTAGAAGGATACATGTCAAAATTAATTCAAATTGCAATCACATATAAGCTACTGCATCTCTGTTTATATTAATGCTTTAGAGAACTTGGTTAAGTATTGATGTTTATTCACTGACATTAACATGCCATTTTGTATTAAGAGACATTTCCTTATCTTTTTGCACTTACTCAAATCATAATTTCATTAAAAGATAAGTATCTGTGTTGAAAAATTATAACATTAGCTACAATGATTTTTTAAAAAAGGTAATATAGTTCCCTGATAACATCAGGTTTATATTGTAAGGATTCAATGGCAACACTGAATAAGAATCAAGATATATGTTGTTATGTTGACTGAAAGATTAACCCAGAAGCCTATTCCTGATTTACACAAACCCTAAAGTGACCAAATTCCGTTTTGATTATTATATGCTTTTAAATCCAACTGCCTTTTACCTATAAATTTTATAAATTCAAATTATCAAACATTTTCTTATGTAATATTAGAAAGAATAATATTTACGTAAAAAACACATTTCATGGATTTTTAATCTTTTTTTGTTGTTGTCGTTGTTTTGTTTTGTTTTGTTTGAGACGGCGCCACGCTCTGTTGCCCAGGCTGGAGTGCAGTGGCGCGATCTCCGCTCACTGCAAGCTCTGCCTTCTGGATTCACGCCATTCTCCTGCCTCAGCCTCCCGAGTAGCTGGGACTACAGGCGCCCGCCACCATGCACGGCTAATTTTTTGTATTTTTAGTAGAGAGGGGGTTTCACCATGTTAGTCAGGATGGTCTCGATCTCCTAACCTCATGATCCGCCCTCCTTGGCCTCCCAAGGTGCTGGGATTACAGGCGTGAGCCACCGCGCCTGGCCGATTTTTAATCTTTAAATAAACACTTTCTGAAATGATTTGTTCTCAGAATATAATAGGTATGGATGATAAAGAACATTCATCAATTCTCACTTGCACAAAATGATCTCACCACATTATTTGCTAAATGAGTATTTTACTTGGTCTCATTTTTTGAAAACAAGGAATGAGGAAATAAATATCTGATAATATCTTCAAAATATCCTCAACTCTGAGACCTCCCCTCCTGGAAGATGAAGTAGACACACGTTTTGTTATTCCTTCCCACTGTGTTCCCACAGAAGCCCTGGGGTATACATATATAAAACAAGCCATGACATACCAATCCACAGAGACCTGTAGAAGATTCTGAAAGGCTGAGACTGGCTAGGGACCTCAGGACACATGGAATGACATGAGCCTGTGTTCTCTGGATTTTCTTGTTGCCTCTGTGCTGAACAAGCTGATAACTGGCACAGAGAGAAAACCCCCAACCCCTCAACAAAGCTGGTTGTCTTTAGCCAGTGGATGAAGAAAGGAGCAGCCTAGCAAGACAGAGTGCTTTTAGATGATAATGGCTACTCCAGCCAAACATCACAGAACACACAGTGGCTCCACTCCTACCTCCTACCTGAGCCACAAAGGCTGAGTGGGGAGAATAGTCCCCCACCCTAAAGAGGCTGCAATAAGGTACCTTTCAGCCTCCTGCTGGGTGGTGCCAAGGGAGACCTCATGGCGAGAGTCAAGACTAGAGTTCTAACCCAGGCAGTAGGTCAAGAAAAAAGTCACACAGATTCAACAGAAAGAAACTGTCTCTACAGATGACGTGGTCATCTACAGAGAAAATACCAAGGAATCTGTACAATAAATCCTAGAACTATTGAGTTCAGCAAAGCCACAAAATCCAAGTTCAACAACGTTTCTATACAGCAGCTGTGAACATGTGGACCTTGAAATTATAATAATATCATTCAACACAGTTTAAAACATGAAATAGGTGTGATAGAGTTTGGCTATTTGTCCCTGTCCAAATCTCATGTTGAAATGTAATCCTCAGTGTTGGAAGTGGGCCTGTTGGGAGGTTTTGGATGACGCGGGTGGATCCCTCATGAGTGGCTTGGGCTTTCCACTTAGTGAGAAGTGAGTTCTCACTCTGTTCACACAAAATCTGGTTGTTTTCAAGTATATGGCATTAACCACACCCATGTGTACTTTCTGTCTTTTGCTCCTGTTTTGGCCATGTAACATGCCTGTTCCTGGTTCACCTTCTGCCATGATTGTGAGCTTCCTGAGACCTCCCCAGAAGCTGATGCTGTTATGCTTCTTGTACAGCCTGCAGAACTGTGAGCCATTAAACCTCTTTTATTATAAATTACCCAGTCTCTGGTCTTTGTTTATAATAATGCAGTTTTGCAACAGCCTAATACAAGGTGCAAATCCAACAATACTTATACACAAATTATATGCTGAAAACTATAAAACACTGATAAAAGAAATTCAAGATTTAAATAAATGTGGACTATTCCATGATTATGTAATGGAAGATTTAGCATAGTAAAGATGTCAACTCGTTAAAAAAAGATATACCGATTTAACACAGTTCCTGTCCAAATACCAGAAATATTTTTTATAAAACAAGTTATTATGAAATATATATGAAGAAGCAAAGAAACTAGGATAACTAAAACAATTTTGAAAAAGGTATTAGGGTAGCTAAAAAAATAAAAAAGTAAAATAAAGTGGGAGGAATCAGTCTACCCAATGTGAAAATATACAGTAATAAAGACTGTGTGTATTTGTGGAAGGAGACATACACAGATCAAGGGAACAGAATAGAGAATCCAGAAGTAGGCCCAAGCAAACATACCCAAACCAAGTTTGGCAAAAATTCAAAAGCAATTCAAAGGAAGCACCTTAGCTTTTTCAATAAATGGAGCTGGGGTAATTGTACATCCAGAGGCAAATAAAGGAATAAATGAAGAATTAGCGGCAGCTCCACCTAGGTCACATCAGAAATTATATAAAAATTAATACTTTACAAAACTATTATACAAAGATTAACTCAAAATGAATCACAGACTTAAGTGTAAAATGTAAAACTATAAAACATTTAGGGGAAAAATCATGAGAGAAAGCCTTCAGGATCTACTACTTGGCATAGAATTCTTAGATTTAACACCAAAAACATGATCCATAAAAGAAAAACTAATAAATACAATTTCATTAAAATTAAAAAGTTTTACTGTGTAAAAGATCATATTTAAAGATGAAAGGACAAGCTACAGACAGAGAAATATTTGTGGATCACATGTCCAACAGAGAACTAGTATCTAGAATATATAAAATAAATTATCTAAACTCAACAGTAAACAATAAAACAATCCAATTAGAAGATGGGCAAAATACATGAACAAGTATTTCAGTGATAAGAATATAGAGATGACAAATAAGCACATGAAATGATGTCGAATATTATTAGCCATTAGAAAAATGCTAGTTAAAACCACAATGAGATATTGTTACATAACTTTTAGCCTGGTTAAAATAAAAACTGTGACTACAGCAAATGGTGATGGAGATGAAGGAAAACTAGTGATATTGCTTGGATTTGTGTTCCTGCTCAAATCTCATGTTGAATTGGAGGAGGGGCCAGGTGGGAGGTGGATGGATCATGGGGATGGATTTCCCCCTTGCTGTTCTTGTGATAGTGAGTGAGTTCTCACGAGATCTGAGGGTTTAAAAGTGTGTGGCACTTCGCCCTCATTTCTCTCTCTCTCCTGCTTTGCCATGGTAAGACATGTTTGCTTCTCCTTTGCCTTCCACCATGACTGTGTTTCCTGAGGCCTCCCAGCCATGCTTCCTGTGGAACTGTGAGTCAATTAAACCTGTTTCCTTCATGAATTACCCAGTCTCAGGTAATTCTGTATAGCACTGTGAGAACGGACTAATACAACTATATTACTCATAAATTGCTGTTGGAAATGGAAAATAAAACAGCCACTCTGGAAAAAAATTTGGCAGTTTCTAAAAACTGTGATTTTCATATGTGATTATCATATGACTCACCAGTTCACAGAAAGCCTGTACACTAATGTTTTTAGCAGTTTTATTCATCATAGCAAAACTCTGGAAGCAGTCCAGATGTTCTTCAAAGCACACTGTGGTACACCCATAACACTGACTAATAGTCAGCAATAAAAAGGGACAAACCATTAGTTCATACACAACCTGATGAGTCTCCAGAAAACTATGTCAAGTGAAAATAGCTGATCCCAAAATGTTACAGTCCACTTACATAATATTCTTAAAATGGCATTTTATAGAAAGGGAGAATATTTGTTGTTGTGAAATATTCTGCATCTTGACCTCATTGTCAATGTCTTGGCTGTGATATTGTGCTATGGTTTTGCAAGATGTTACCATTGGGGGGAACTGGGTAAAGGGTATACGGGGTCTCTCTATATTACTTCTAGCATCTGCATGTAAATGTACAATTATTTTAAAAGAAATGGCTTAATTGAAAATTTGTCTCTATGCCTGCATGAGGCTGAATTTTCTTCTCAGTGCAGAAGTTATATATACTTTTTTTTTTAGAAAGTATGCTTATTTTTTAAAATATGCTTTTTATGGTAACATGTAATGATAATTAATTTTCAGTAATTTATAAATAAATATTTAGAAAATGTGTTTATTTTCACTTCTGGTACAGTAAAATAATAATAGATACAATCTAACAATTCAAAGGACTCAGAAAAGCATAAACTTTGAGAACTATTGAATTAGGCACTGGTCAATGCTCATAAACATATTCAACCTGTAGTTCATTTTGATTCTGTGGACATATTAAAATATATTATCCTCTCCAAAATGTAATATGAAACGGGATGATCAAAGGCTTAAACACTAGAGCCCCATTTAATTTAAACACAGATGACCAAATATTCCTGTACAGAAACCATAACAAGACTTTTTAAAAAGATGTCATGTTAACTCTGCCTAATTTTCTGATTGGAATTTGCAGACTTCATAAGCACTTATTTATCTCAGCATTTTACAGTCAAAGGCCCCCAAATAGCAACAAATTGCCCCAGAGTCAGCAGAGATATTCATGTTACTCAGTGATACATCTTTCTGATGAGGTCTTAAATATTGATTTTTAAAAATTTATTATGCATGAAGATGACATTTTTACCCCTGAAGGCAATTAGCAAGGAAATTGCAATTATTAGACCCCCTGAGCACCAGTTTTTCTTCCTGTGTGTTCCTCTGAGCATTACAAAATATTCTCATTTGTGATTTTTCTATCCTCATCTTGCCCCCTTACCACAGATAAATTAGTTCACAACAAACATAACAAATTCAGGGGTCAGCACTTTGTTAGCAAGTGTTTAAAGCGAAGTTTTGCTTTTGTGGTAAGTTACCATGAAGAGAAGTCCAGAACTGAGACTGGGCTGACATTGACAAATAGGACTTGTCTCTGATGCATCTGTGTCCACAGTGCTCTCTGCGTGCAGTGCCACTGTGGTGGCCCCTTCCCTTGTGCATATCTTTCTGGCTTTCAGGCATATTCTACCCTCTGTAATAGCTCTGGGGTGTGCCATCCAGATTTTACCTCCCCTCCAGGACCCAGATTTCTTGGGTCTAGGCACTGGGGGTGTTGACAGCTATGAACTTGGGGATTTCCTTTTTGGAGGATTATTCTACAGTGAAAAGAACCACCACGGCCAAGGTGACGCCCTCTCTCCAGAGGCAGCCCACCTCCAGTGACAGGTCAGTGGGGGCTGGAGAAAGGCCTGGCCCCTTCACCCCATTCAGGACAACTGGAAGGAGGCAAGCATCCAGGCTGCGACCTCCGCGGGACAGGCTGAGGCTCCCTTTGGGGACGCCTCACGGCTCAACCTCTCCCTCTGCCCGTCCTCCTCCTACATCTTGGTATGTGCATGTCCCCATCTCAGAATCTGCTTCCCAAGTCTCTTGACCTTCACGCAGCACCTGGGTGAATGTTGGATGAGGAACACGATGTTGACATAGCTTCAAAGTACTGACTCACAGATAATTAATACTGATTAATTATGACATACTTATTAATAACTTTACAGTGAGGAAATCTGACTGACACTACCTTAACCAGGAGGAGAAAGGTGCGTCTGGATAAGACGTGCTGAGCAGAATGCATCTCCGATAGGAATGCCTGTGGTATTCCTATCGGAAATGCAAACCTGCATTAAAACTTTAGTATTAATATTAATATGGAAAAAGTGTTTCCAGTTATTTATTATTTTTTTGTGCTTTATAACAGGGTTCCATTACACAACCATTTTTTTTCAACTAAATTACTTAATTTCTCAGCATAAAACACCAGCTACACCTGAATTGAGGCACATTATACATGGGAACCAGACTGTGTTCTTCAAAGATGCTCCAGTTATTAAAGACAGGGAAAGACAAGGAAACTGTTCCAAATGAAAGAAGACAAGAGAGGCACTAATGGGGTCAAACGCTCAGACCGACGTTTACTACTTACCACTATTTTTACAACGCTGTTTATTTTAGTATTAATATTAATATGGAAAATAGCAAACAAAATAAGACACATTCCCAAATGTTATTTTTTGTCTTTTGTAACAGGGTTCCATTATACAACCATTTTCCTTCAACTAAAATGCTTGATTCAAGTCTTAGGTTGTTTAATTGTAACATCTTTCACTCTAAAGCTTTATTACTTTGTCACTCGTTACTCTTCACCTTGGTTTTCTCCTCATATGGTGTTGTGTCTCTTTTTGTAACTTATTTTTTCAGGAAGCTTTTCTGAGGGACTTTTTTTCTCAGGAAGATTCATTAGCTAGTTGTCCTGAGTTTATATCTTTGATTTTGGACACGTTTTCCCCTCAAGTAATATCTACCTGGCTATATAATTATAGGGCCACAAGAATTCACGTATCTCTGTATTTGGATCTTAGTGTGATTTGTGTTAGGTGTGATGTCCTTCTGACTTTAACTTCATTCATTCATTCATTCATTCATTCAATTAAGAAATATTCAAAATATTTATTAGGCGCCAACTATTGTTTGATGCTGTGTTGTTCTGGCAACATGATGGTGAAAAAAATAAGACACCATGTTTTCTGATTATATGCTTTAAAAAATTTTCATTTTATTCTTGAAATTGCAAATTTTCACCAAGTTGTGTGTTCATGTTAGTATACTTAATATTGATTGCTCATCTCTTTCAAACTGTAAATTTACTGTTTCCTCCTGCTCCGTAAAGTTGTTACTAGTTTTATTCTTCTTTTAATTTATATTTCTAGTTTATGCAGAATAGATGTTCTTGTTTTAACTATGCTCTCATTAATTTATTATACTTTTTATTCTAACATATTTAACTTTTAAAATTTTTTCTCTGATCTGTTTCTTAGCATCCAGCTTAATGTCCATTGGTCCAACATAGTTTTATATAAAGCCATTGTGTAATTTTTCTGTTCTTAGACTGTTTCCTTTTTTATAGTAGTCAGCTGTTCTCCATTATGGCAAAATTTCTAAAAATTTCTTATTTTGCTGAAGAAATTGTTATAAAAGAAGAACCTAGTCTGATTTCTTAAAGTAATACAGCTCTCCATAACTGCAATCTCTTTATTTATATATGACTTTTTAATTACTTTTATCTGACCTTTACATAGAGTCATTTGTCTTCATCCCATATTTGAAATATAGATGGTCTTGACTAGTGTGAATGCAAGCTAAGGAGATCTGAATACGTAAAGGATATTTTCAGTTTACTTCTGCTCTTTGCTGTCCCACAGTTCCAGCAGTGCATGTGCTTGGGGGAAGGAATTCCTCTACAATCAAGGGGCTCATGGCAAGGCTCAGGTAAGTGGTATTCCTATACATTTGCTGTGGCATTCAGAATTAGCCAGGGAAGTGCTAACTTCTGGCTAAGATATGGTCATAGCACCTATTCTTCAACAGATATAGGTTTAGCCTAATTTTTACTTTGGAGTTTTTAAGCTTTAAAAATAATTATAATAAATACCCCCTTAGCAAAAATGCTATAATCAAGAGAACATACTTTGAAAACAAAAAGAAGCAGATAACTAAGAATGTGTGCTCAAATCTGGATAAGACAAAATCAATATTAAATATACTATAGCCAAAATAACAAAAAAAATCAAATTCAAAATTTGAAGATATCATCATCAAATGATGATAAGAAGCAACATGCAGCCTGTCCTCACATGCTCAGTTTGAAGGCCAGGTAATGCCTGCCACTTTTCCCTTTTGTAATAATAAGTGGTTCATTTAGTCTACCCTTGTAGAATTACAAGGGGTCTCAAATAGCAAAAACAATACTGAAAAAGATAAATAAAGTTGCAGGACTCACATTTTCTGACTTTAAATGGTACTACAAAACTACAATAATCAATATCAAGTGGTACTGAATAGACATACAGACTAGTGAGAAAGAATTGAGTCAAAAAATAAATCTAAAAGTCTATGGCCAACAGAGTGCAAAGACTATACAATGAGGTAAAGAATGTAAAATAATGAAAGTGAACCACTAACCTCGCTTCATCTACAAAAATTATTTCAAAATGGATCAACAACATAAATATAAAAACTAACACTGTAAAACCTTTAGAAGAGAACACAGGGGTAAATCTATATGGTCTCTACTTAGCAATAGATTCCAAAATTTGACCCCAAGTCATGAACAATAAAAGAAAACATGATAGATGATTGCACTTCATAAAAATTAAAAGCTGTCGAGCATCAAAGGACATTATCAGGAAAGTGAAAAGACAACCTACAGACAGGGAGGAAAAATACTTGTAAATCGTGTACCTTATATGGGTTTAGTATCCAGAATATACAAAGAACTCTTTCAGTAGCAAAAAGACAAGCAATCCAACTTATAAAATATGAACAAATGACTTGAATAGACAACTGTCTAAAGAAAATATCCAAATGGCCAGAAAGCATATGAAAAGATGTTCAGTTAGCCAGGCATGGTGGTGCATGCCTGTGGTTCCAGCTACTTGGGAAGGTGACATGGGAGAATCACTTGAGCCTGTGAGGCGGAGGTTGCAGTGAGCTAGCCTGGGTGACAGAGTGAGACCCCGGGTAAAAGAAAAAAAAACCAAAAAACCAAAACCAAAAACAAAACAAAACAAAACAAAAGGCCATGTTCGACATCATTGTTGATGAAGGAAAAGCAAGTCAAAACCACAATGAGATACCACTCCATACCTAGTAGAGTGTGTTAAAATCAAAATAAGGTAAAATGATAAGTGTTTGGGAGGACATGGAGAAACAGGAACTCTCACATACTGCTGTTGAGAATGTAAAATGAAATAGCCATTATGAAAGAGATTTGGGCAATTCCTCAAAAAGTTAAACATAGAACTGCTGTACGACTCAGCTATTCCACTCCTAGGCATATACTTGAGAAAGAGGAAAACTCACATCTGTATGAAAGTTATACACAAATTTTATAGCAGCATTATTTATAACAGCCAAAAGGTGCCTGTCCCAGAGGTCCGTCAACAGATGAGTGGATAGACATATCATGGTATATAAATACAATGGAATATTTTCATCTTTCAAAAATAATGGAGTACTGACACATGCTACAATTTGGATGAACCTCAAAAGCATATGCTAAGTAAAATAAGCCAGACACAAAAGGTCAGATAGTGAATGATTCCTTTTACATGAATATAAATATCCAGGATGGGCAAACCCTTTAAAAATGAGGCAGCATGTTAGAAGTTGCCAGGAGATAGGGTGAGGCAGAAATGTGTATGGGATGTTCTCGTGAGTGATGAAAATATTTGACATTAGAGAGAGGTGGAGGCTGCACAGCATTTTGAATGCAGTGACTGCCACTGAATTGTACACTTTATGATGGTTAACTGTATGCTATGTGAATTTCATCTAAATTAAAAAAGTGCAAGAAATCAGCAAAAGTAGTTCAAAAGAAACTTTGTTTTCTTACAGTCTCCTATATGTTACTGAGTAGTACGTACATACAGTGACATTCTGAACATCATTAATTTTGAAAAAGAAAATGATTTCTTTCATTATAATGGTTACCATTATAATACAGAAATTGTGTTATTAACATCAAATTATTTTCAATCAATTTTTAAAGCAATAAATAATTTCTCTATCAAATTAAGAGTTTTTCTCTGCCTAAATAGTTCGAGGTGTTATGATCTATGAATGTTTGTAAATAGTTTTAATATTTGAGATGATATAATAATGCAAAATTATCGGTAACTTTTCCTCTCAAATGTTTAGAATGTAGGATAAAACTGAAGAAACTGAACTTTTAAAGTAATTTTAAATTAAAAAAAAAACAGTATGCAAGTGCCCATTCATTAATTCTAAAGATATTATTGCACACTAATTACCACAACTGATGTACCAAGTGGTAGAAAATCATCCAATCGCATTAGTCTTCTGAATCTCCATACAATTTGGGAAGATATCAAAAGGTGAAAAAGAAAAAAATAACATTCTGTTGCTGTTTTTAAGAATACAAAAAAATTGAACTCTCTCTGCTCTGACTAGAGTTACTTCACATATGTACTGCCAAGTAGAATATTCCTTTTGATGAAGCTCTGATTACCCAGTCCTTTGTAATCCAGAGATTCTCCTGGTATTTGCACAAAGAGAAAGAATTCAATGTGGAAACTGCTGTCTACATGGGTCATTGGAACTCGGCAGCCTTCAGGACGTTTTAGAAGAGAAACTATTATGCATGAGCAACTTTATAGACCCAAACTGTGATTGCATTTAGAGTTGAATGTACACATTTTATTTCAGGTACAAAAACAACAAATATATCCAACCAATATAGAAGTAGAGTTTCAGATTAAGTATCTTTATTTCTTAAAAATAAAGTTAAGAAAACTAACAGGTCTTTCTAAGGCTATCTTTAGAAATGTGCTTAAGAGTATAAATGAGATTGTTAAATAGAAAATACAGAAGGCTGTTAATTTGGACTGAGCTCCTGCACTAGGCCCCAATGTGCCAAACCAAAATGGAGTCACTAATGCTAAAGACCCACATCACCAAAGCAAAACCAAGTTGTTTATTTGACCTTCTGAGAAATCAAGAGAGACGGTAGTCAAATCCCCAAACAGGCCACTTTTAAACAGGCATGATAAGGAATCCCCTCTGCTTTAGCTCTTACAAAGAAAATGTCCTGAAGTGATCTGATAGTAATCCACTTTTTGTTTTGTGCTGTTTCCTGGTTCTTGCTCAAGCTACCTTATGAAAGCCACCTGTCTGTCATGCCCACTATAGCACCTCTCTATTTTTAGATGAGATGCTACCTGATTAATGAATAAAAAATCAAAGCCACCTAGGTCATTTAACTAAATTTGTTATAATTGTGTCTTGACAATATCATATGATGAAAATAAAAATAAATTATTTGGTGGCCTCAAGTGCTTTAGAGATTTCCTAGTAATAAATGCACACATTTAATAGTTATCATTTTTGAGGAAGAGTCTCTTTTTACTCTGCTACAAATTCTTTGACCTTGAAAATAGAGTCACCCTATTGAAAGTAATTTAATCAACAAATGTGTTGAACTACTTGGAAATGAATTTCTCCCTTTAATTTGTGAAACATTTCCCTTTTGCTATTAAATCTTATAACATGGCATTTGCATGAAAATCAATTGTAGCATCTTAGAGGTGACTTTGAACAAGTCTCCTCTGAATAACTCTGAATGTGAGCTTCAGTGAGTAATCCACAAATGTTATCTTCATTACAAAGTACATGCAATTATTTTTTAAGATAGCATTGCCCTTAATTCTACAAAATTATTTTATTTTTGTAAGGCGAGGACAGTATCTTAAAATTTTAATGAACTTGCCCATACTAACATTCTAGGATAATAACAGATGGTGCAAATATTTTTACATAATCAGACCCAAGATAGGATAAACTAGTCATGTGTAACCAACAGATGTGTGCTTATAACAAACATACTTTGGAAACCGCTTCTTCTCTGCTAGATGCACGTGGATTAAATATTTGTAGACACTTGGCTTGAATTTGTAACGGTTCTCCGGACTATAATCATGGTAGATAGAATGTTTTTAAATAACCTAATCTTTGTTAAATATCAAACTTGCCTTTTTATACATTTAGCAGCTGTGTTCCCACTTTGTACAATATTTAAGTGGCTGAAGTTGAATAAGGTAAGAAATAAGATTCCAACCTAAAATAGGCTGTCAGGATCATCCCCTTGCTTATTGGGAAATGTTATCAATGTTTGCTCAGTTGTCAACTTTGACCTTAATCTAGCAGCAATGGCAAATCTGACAGATACCCGAAACAAGCAATTGCTTGACATATTAGGAAGTATTTTAATTTGACAGAAATGAACACAAAACATTTTCTTTAATAATGTGAACTGTCAGAGAACATGGACCAGCCCTGACCCCCGAGGATTCATCGTTCATTCAAGATGGTTTAGGGCAGTGCTGGGTTCTGGCAGAGCTATACTTCTATAAGCCAACTACTCAGATTTAAATAGTAAAACTGGTATGTTTGTGAGAAAAAAAAAGCTAGTGTTGTCATATAAAATGTTAGGGAAGTTGTTGCCTAGTAGATTTCCTGATGCCATATGTATACCAAGCCTGCCGATGCGAAGCCACCAGGAACCTAGATTCCTGAGACCACAGACAGGAGTGACTAATCCTATAAAAGAGGACTAGCCCTCCACCCGCCCCACACATTGCCATACTGTGAACTGCTGTTTCTACAGAAAAAAAAAAAAAGCCAGTTGCCAAGCAAAGGCAGTCCCTTGCACTCCAGTCTTGAAGACAGAGTGGTGCATAATTACCGAAACATTTGCCTCACCATGAAATAAACTAAGAATTGTCTGACATTGAAAATCAAGATCCTAAAATAAGAAATTTATATCTGAGTTTCATTGTGAGAAGCTAAAAGGAAAGAAATTCAGGATCAGTAAAATTCTAGCCACTGTGATGAAGAAATATCATTAGTTCTTTAATGAGAAGGAACAGAAGACACATACTTGAATAGACCTTAAATGCTTCACAGTCCATTGTACGAGTCTTTATCACCAATTGTCTGTAATTTTCATTGCAGAATAGGTGTTCCATCTCTACTTGTTTTTGTAAAATTGGAAGTGAAAGAACTCTACACATTTCTGTAAGTACAGACAAATATTGGATAAAATATGCCTCTTTGATTAATAAAATCAACCTTCTAGCTCCCACCCTGGGCAAATCAGTTAGAAATTACCTTTTCATTGTCAGTTAATCATAATGGCTCCTGAGATCTGTGCAGATAGAGCGTCATTCACAAGGTAAGTCAAGGTGCCAACTCTGTTTATGTATCCATTTACTTGTTTTCATCACACTGCCAGTGAGCTAAAGAACACAGTGAGTATTTTGTTATGTTACACATGTTAAGGGTACTTTAAGTACCCTTAAATACATAAAATTGATCAAAATATATGTGATTTCTTTTTATATCATGAAGAAGGTGTTTATGATCAGGGAGAAACTCAAAACAGTGTATTCAATATTCAAACAGCAGTCCTATTATAAAAGCTTGCTTGAAAACGGAGAAGCAAAAATAATTAAATAACTTCACCTTTCAAATATAGAAAATGAATTAAAAGGAAATAATAAGAAATCATAAACAGCAAAGTGAAATTCTGATACTTTTATTATCTTAAAGCAAGAAGGCTTTTCTAAGAATATCAAAAGTGAAACCATATCTAGGAGGGAGAAAATCACCATTAGCACAATATAAAGTTAGGTGACAACTTGTACCAGATACAGCACATTTAACAAGAATGGCATGCTTAATGGAAATGTTCTTAGGACTCATTTAGAGAATATAACCCCCCCATATAAAAATAAATATTCAAATGCCTTAGTAATTGAAGAAAGCAACTTAAAGCAGCAGTGAAATGCTGTTGAGGTATAACTAAATCAAATTAGCAAATACACCTGAAAAAGGACAGAATCAGCATTGACAGAGAAAGGACAATGGATTCTCAGACATTGCTAATGGCCTTGAATATTGGCCAATTTTCCACGAGTTATGTGACACTGTGAACAAAATTAACATCATAAGCTGCTTCTAGGAATTTGTTTTAATGTACTCTTGTAGCTACTAGAAGCTTAGTAAATCTTGCTATGTCCAGGCAATTGAATAATTGGGATTACTAGAAACATTTATAACATCATAATAATAGCTTTTTTTTCCTTAGGAACTAATGATTTTTATTTTATATTTTTCCTTTTTCCATTACTATGAATTTATCTTAAGAAAATGACTTGGCATTTTTATGTGTAACAATCCAAAGCTTCCTATAGGTCTCACATTTGGAATCAGTTAATAGGTTATGATGCACTGCTATAAAACAGCCTTTGGAAGAGAGGTTTCAACTTTCTCATAGTACATCTTTATTGTAAAGTGTATGCACACATTTTTGCGCAATAGTCACATTCAGTTACGTATTATACAGAGAAAAATGGCTGTGAAATGTACAAGACAATTTTATTTGGGGATATGTTTAAGTAGCATTAATTGGGTTCTGTCTACTTTTAAGTACTTTCTAACTTTCATAAATAAAAATGTTATTCCTGACAAATATGTATTAAAATTATGTTTAATGTTGTACTAATACACGTGTTAAAAGGTTAGTTTTGAAAAACAGACTAGAATTTTTTTCTGTACAATATGAACAAATTTATATACAACTTTGCCCATAGATTGAAATACAGCATAATTATTAAAGATTAATTTCTTTATATTTGTTCACATTTTTAATATAAAATTAGGAACATGTGAACTAAAACTCACAAGAAAATTTTTCTTCAGAATTAAACTGGAACAAAAGCTCACTGCAAAAGCCCATATTTTATCTGAAATCCATACAGCATTTCACTGTACCCACATTTATTTCAAAGTAGATCATAACAAACTTTGTGATGTTTTAGAAACATTGCCAGATATCGGTTTCTAGAGTCACAGATGAGAAATCTTGCTGGCATGATTTTTATCTTTTTATTACGAGAAGATCATTATGTGGATTCCTGACCCTTAGAATTACCAACAATTGTATTGGGCTGTCCATTACATATTTACATTATTCCAGAGATTTGCTGAAAACATACAGCAGCAGAAACCAAGCAACATATTTCCAACCGTGCTGTCTGACTATTTAAATGAATATAAAGCAGATAAATTTCAAACAAGAAGAAGTCTCATTAGCCACAGCAACACATGGTGATGGGTCTGCTTTAGCTCATTGTAGTTTTGTGATGCATATTGTGATAATGAACTGAAACACAGCCCTTAACTTAATTACAAGGTCTTTGGTGGAAAATAGCACTCTCGTGTCATTGGACAAGTTAAATTGACCTATTTAAAACACTTATAGTATTCGTTAGACACCTCAGCATTATTCAGCCTTGATGACTTTGGACAGCATTGCATATAGCTTCATTTGGGATAGTAATAATAAAGATTTTTTATGACATTCTGGAAGGGGGAAACAATAATATAAAACTCACAGAATACTCTGAACAATTTTTCTTTGTCATGATTTCTTGAACCATAATGTTTCTTTCTTCTGCGTCTTGTTTTAATATATGCCAGTTAGAATATATGTTTATATAAAACAGGTTACGATACACAACATTGCATCCCTTCTTACTTTCTTCATTTTATTTCAAGCTATATGAATCATGCTATAGTTTGGATGTGTATTCATGCCCAAATCTTATGCTGAATTGTAATCCTCAGCGTTGGAGTTGGGGCCTGGTGGAAGGTGATTGCATCATGGGGGCAGATTTCTCATGAATGGTTTACCACCATTTCTCTTGGCGCTGTCCTTGCCATAGTGAATGAGTTCTCATGAGATCTGGTCCTTTAAAAGTATGTAGCACCTCCCCGCCTCGTTCTCTTGCTCCTGCTTTTGCCGTGTAGCGTGCCTGCTCCTGCTTCACCTTCCGCCATGATTGTAAGCTTCCTGAAGGTTGCCCAGAAACAGTGCCAGTGTTATGCTTCCTGTAGAGCCTGCAGAACTGTGAGCCAATTAAACCTGTTTTCTTTATAAATTACCCAGTCCCAGGCATTTCTTTATAGCAATGCAAGAATGGCTCAATACACATCATTTACTTATTAATTTCTTTTTAAAAATATTTGTTGATGGTATATTCTTAAACATTTAAACTGGATAATGTAATTTTTAGATGCTACTTACAATTTCTAATATAAACAGTGTGATTTCATGTGGGTTTGCTTGCACATTGGCCTTTGCACTTAAGTAGTGGTTCCATGTAAATTGAGTGTCTGAACTTGAAGACAGTAATTGGGAGTAAGCCGGTATCCGTCAACCTCCCTGCAATGATGAAGTGCTGGCCACACCATTCTTGATGCAACTGGTACTTGCAGAAGCCACTCCATAGCAAATTTATTATTCTAAAGACATTTTCTTACATTTGATAGCTGAATATTATTTAGTGGGAAAATGTGGACTTTTATAATGATTTTACTAAGAAAATTGGTTAACCAGTTAGGGAAAATATTGTATTTCAGCTTAACAATTTAGAAGAAACTAGAGATGAATTTTATAAACTTTATAAACATAAAGAAATGGTTGACTTTTGCATATTTGTCCTACAATTAAGTACCTTTACGGATTCTTACCTGTTGTATTACTTTCCGTTCTATGTTTTATTTGGTTTTGCAATCATATCATGTACCAGCAATGACCAATTTGTTTCCTTGCTTTCAATAGATAAATCTCTTCCTTTTTGTCATAATGCTTTGCTACAACCTCCAGAAAATTACACAGTACAAAGAAACTTTTTCTACCTTTTATTTGGAAAAAAAAATTCTTTGGGGATTTTTGAGGTTAACTGTGAGGCCAACTACAGTTTGGGATTTGTGTTTTACACTTAAAGAAAACATATTTTGAATCATTGGATACTACATGTACTTTGCTCAGAAACTGACTTAGAATTTTACTTGTACATAAATAATTTAAATATCCATTTCATCCTATTTTAACAAAATGCTTTTTTTCACCTCTAATTTGAAAAATAATTCATGTTTATTGGAAAATAATGCAAGGATTACAAGAACCTAGTTAGAAGTAAGCAATATTACTTAACAAGCTCCCTAAAAACATATTGACATAATAATGTGTAGGTTTCATATTATTTGCTATGAGATGTTCATAAACATGAGATCCTTTAAAATGGGATTATATTACCCAAGTCATTTTGTATACTGCTGTTTTAATGTAAATACATGTTGTGGACACATCGTCTTAACAAAATATAGACTTACCTCATTATTTAAATTGCTGAGTAATTTTCATTTGTGTGGATATATCTTGCTTATTTGTTTTAGCCCACAATTTAAATATTCAAGTCATTACCAAATGTTGGCTTAGGCTATAAGGAAATATATATTAAAATGTGTATATATATATAGAGAGAGAGAGAGAGCTATATATATAGTTATATACATACATAACTATACATGTGTATGTATACAATTATATACATCTATGTATATGTTATATATAGTTGTTTACATATATGTTATAAATTGTTATATACATATGTATATGTTATATACATGCATATATTAGTTACATACACATCTATGTAACATGTTACATATAGTTATATACATACATAGTTATATACATACATATACATCTACATATGTATATATGTATATACATATACATACGTATATACTTATGAGTAACTATTATATAACATTTATACATATATGTACATAATTACATATAACATCTACATATACATGTATATAACTATATATGTTTATATACAGTATATGTAGTATATAACATATATAACTATATATGTGTGTATGTGTATATATATGCATATATATAAATCCTCTATCTCTAGCTCTTTTTCTCTCTGTTTCCCACTCTCTAGACACACACATGATGAAAGGAAAATCCCCCAAGATCAGAAAGAACACAAGTCGTAATGGCTTACCCTGCAGTGGCCAGCGTAAGGGAGCAGAGACTGAGATTTACTATTCACATAGGCTTACAGAAAAAAGACTCATACATTCATGCAAAAAACAAGAAAGAATGATAACTGAATATAACAGAACAAATGAGTGCATTTAGTAAAAATAAAAATTAATTAATTACCCTGATGGCTGGAAAATTCACCTCAAACTATGAACATCTAAAAGATGTAGGGTTATCTTTTAAAATGATGGCTACAATCCCACTACTTGATTGTGCAATGAAAATTATTGGCATAATTATATATCTTAAATTCAGCTTCTTTGGGTTGAACCTATTAGAAAAATATTGAGGAATTAAATAATTTACACAACAGAATATACTCATTACAATTATTCATAATATGAAATTACTCATGCATAATTAAAGCAAAAATTCTGATGATTGATATTGGTGAAGAAGTAGGTATAGAAGTATATTTTTTTACCAGATGCTTCTTAAAATCAGTGTTAGTTCATAGCAGTAAGCAGTAAGTGTAAAGACTAATAATGGAAAACAAAATAACAGGGTTTTTAAGAAAGAAAATTCGTGGAAAGAGAGCAGGAATGTATTGAAAAAAAAATAATTCTGTGATATTAAACAAGGTGAGAGAAAAATGTTAGAAGTTTACATGGAGCTTATGATAATATAAACAGAAGATAAAGTAAATTTAGGTAAAGAAAGAAAGGCAGCTGTTTATTATATAAACTTTCTAGAGTGTCTACTCCACTCTGGTGGATTCAACTGTTGATTAAGGATTAAACAGTGAGCAAAACAAAGTATTTTCCCCTAAGAATTTACAACACAGTGAGGGAGACCCTCAAGAAGCATATATTACATAATGCTTCAAGTGAAGAAAAGGCTATTGATAAAATGAAGTCAGCCCCAGGGGTGGGGAGACCCCTGGGGGCAGCAGGTGAGGAGAGGGCTGCTTTGTACAGAATGGTCAGAAGTCCTCTGCTAAAGTGACACTTGAGTAGAGGTCCTGAGGAAGTGAGGGTCTTGCTGACAGAGTCTATGGTAAATGCAAGAACCCTGGGGTGAGATGATGCTTGCTGTGTCTGAGGCATGGCTTGAAGCCCAGTGGCTAAAGAGGAGTAGCCAGTGGGAAGAAGGACAGGAGATGAGATCAGAGAGGCTGTGGCCAGTGGATACCACTTCTGATGGCTCTCGGACATCAATTCCTTTGCCTAACAGTGATTCCTAACTTCAGCTGCACATTGGAATCATCTGGGGGAGTTTGTAAAACTATGGATGCTTTGGTCTCCTTCTCAAGGATGGGTCTTGGGTATGGCCTGGGCATTGAGAATTATTTTTTTGATTCCCCAGGTGATTATAATTTGCAGCCAAGATTAAGACCACTAGTTGAAAGGGAGGGAAAATGAGAGAGATCTGACAAAAGGAAGCCAGGTGAAATAAGAGGCAAATCAAAGGAGAGTGATTTCTGAATGTCAGGTGAGGACAGGAGTTTGAAAGGAAGAGGGGTTAGCTGTGTCAAATGCTGCCTCTCTTAGATCCAGCCGGATGAAAGCTGATTTGATCACTGAAGCTGACAATGTAGTGATCATTAGTGATTCTGATAAGAGGTGTTTGTTTGAGTGGTAAGAATGAAATCCTGATTGGTGTGGGTTCAAGAGAAAAAATAGGGGCAGAAAAGGTGATATACTTTCTTTTCAAAGACATTTCTGTGGAGCTGAACAGAAGAATCTCCCATTGCTGAAGCAGAATGTTTGCTTGTGAATGCTTCTTGAAGATGTACCATGTTTTCAATAGTAAGAATGCAGTAGGCAGAAAAATCTGATTATCAACCTGAGTTAATAATTGTAAATTACTTTAGAACATTTCCTGGCTTACAGTAAATGTTTTACAAATATTCTCCAAGTGAATAAATTATTCAAGAGAATGCGTAGGGAGGGGGAAATTCCAAGGGAGAAAATCATTGAGTAGCTTAAAAGATGTGACCTAGCTCAGTGTCAGGAAACTGTCCTCAGATGGGTGCTCAGAGACTTTTCCTTTTTAATAGAGTATTAGTTATGTTACATTTGGTGGTAGGACTATAAAGATGCTTTCTTCAGAATTTTTAAATCTGAGTGAAATAAAAGGCAAAATCATCAGTTGGAATATGGGGGTGGAGTTTTGGAGTTCTGAGAGTATGGAGAAAACATGAAATAGTTTCAAACTCTAAGAGGGCAAATTGATTTGGATAATGCAGTAGGATTCCCAGGAGGCAGTGAAGACCCATTGGAGGATTTTGTCAGGAGTCAATGTGAAACCATCCAGCAAGGTTGTGTGTCTCTCCAAAGGCATTGGTTTGCCTCTCTCCATAGGTGTTGGTTTGCATGTTTTATTTTTAAAATACATTATAGAGCTCTCCCTAATTCCATTTTAATAACCTGTATACCTTTCTATTGTATGAGTATATTAAAATTTATTCCACCTGTGTCAAATGGCAGATATTTGTACTGTTTCAGTATTCTCACATTAAAAAGAATGCCAAACTAATAGCTTGACTCATGTCATTTTACATTTTGCCAGTTTTTATTTGGGAGCATGCTGGGTCAAAAGATAAATGCATCTGTTACTTTCCTAGTTGCTTTTTACTTGATATTTGGACAATATCAAAGCATGAAACACTGTCCTAGAAAATCATATAAAAATAGAGACAAATACTTCCAAAAATTTATGATAATCAACCTCACATAGGCTCTCAACACTACTCAGCAAGCCTACTAGTTTTCTCTGCCTCTCTCCTCTCTTCACACCTACTACACCCACCCCTTACAGGACCCCCTCATGCTCATGGAGGGACCACAGCCTATTCTTCTGATTCATGGGGAGAGTCTGAGCCTGCAGATGGAGACTGTCTGCTGCTGCATCTCCAAATGCACCTGCATCTGCACACTTCTCTTCGTGGCTGTTCTATAACAGGAGAGGTACATCACCTCCAAATAAAGTCCAATTAGGCTCTCTTCTGCTTTATGAGAAACCATTCATTGTCAATGACCAATTCTCTCTCTAGTATCTAGTAAACTTATTTTTCAATTGAATCATTCATCAGCATCTAAGTTCTTAGAGTTTTTCACATCTGAAAAATGATCTCCATGAACTTCCCTTAATTTCCGTGATACCATATTCCTACTGTGTTTATACCCCTTCTCTTCTAGCTCTTTTAGTACTATTTTTAGGCTTCTCTTCCTCTAGTAGACCATTATGTATTAGAGTTTCTCAAGGCTCAGTCACTGTCTCTCTTCTCTTTTCATTCTTTGTCTACCTAGGCCAATTCATCTATATCCACAGCCTCACTTACTCGCTAAGCACTGATGATACCTGAACCTAAACATTCATGTTTCTGGCTCAGAAGTCCTTCTCCTCACTCCTGACACTCTTACTGACTTCTTAGGACACAGTCCAAATCCTGCCCCTGTTCTTCTACTTCCCAGTAGCTAAGAATAATTTTTATGTTGTAAAGAGTTTCCATATGCATAATAAATAAGTAAATAAATAAATAGAAAAATATGCAATAGTGACCATTCGTGGCATGCACAGCCCCAAATATTTACTACCTGGCCTTTACGAATCTTGCCAAACCTTGTTTTAGGTGACTCAAACTCTCATAAAAATCAGTACACTAAGTCTGGATTCATAGTCTGGATCCTCCACCTTCCTACAGCATATTTCCTCATGAATGACATCATTATTATTGATGGATATAAATCTCAAACCTAGTGCTTATACCTGCACACCTTACTCTCCATTACCTCCATTACCTCCTATATCCTATCTATCATCATGCTTTATATTTTAAATAACTCTTTAATACATCTACCAGTATTTATTTCAATGTCATCATCCTTTACACATTTACATTTCTAGCTTTCCCATAGCCACTGCTCACCCCTTCATGCTCACCCCTCACCTCTTCGTCTGCCCTTCATGGTCCTTCTAGAAACACCTTTCCTCCACAAATTGCTGATCATTTAACTCTTCTTTAATACTTCTCAGTGGATTCCAGTTGATTACAGGACCAAGAAGTGGTCATGATCCAGTTCTCCAGGCTTAACCCCCCACCTCCCTGCCCCTCCCCGTCTCATGCTGGCCTCACCTGTTTTCTTTCCCAAGCTTCATCAGGTTATTTCCCGCCAAACGCAGGGCATTTCTGTAGTGATTCACTGTGGTTGGAATGTTTCACCAGCAATATTCCTCTTTGTTTAATTCCTAGTCATCACCTAGATTGCACCTAAACGTCATTTCTTCGAAGACTTTCTTGACTTTCTATTTAGGTCAGGTTCATTTAAAAAGCTCTTCTTCAATATTCCGCATATGTGAATCTGGGCTAACATATCTTCCTTCTTGATGTGATGAAGTTTATGAGGGGACATAAGTCTGTTTGCTTACCATTGTGTTCCCTGAACTTAGCACAGTGCCTGATAACTATAGCACTGAAAATAAACATGTCATCAATGAATGGATTGAGTCTCTGACAAAAATTTATTATAGAAAATCAGTTGAGAAATAATTCAATAAGCAATTATGTACAATGGACTAATGATTTTTTAAAAAACACAATTAGGTATTTGTCTCATACCATCATTCAAAATAAATCCAGGAGAGTAAGATAGTTCATACAAAGTAAGGTACTAGGAGGCAATGTGTTTGTGGATGACTTTCTAAGCATGATCGCAGAGGCGGAAATCAAAAAAGAAATAATGACAAGATTTGACTGCATTAAAAATTTCAGAAAACCACACATAAGCCCTGTATTAGTCTGTTTTCATGCTGCTGATAAAGACATGCTGCTGATAAAGACTGGGCAATTTACAAAAGAAAGAGGTTTAATTGGACTCACAGTTCCACCACGTGGCTGGGGAGGAATCAAAATCATGGCAGAAGGCAAGGAGGAGTAAGTTACATCTTATGCGGATGGCGGCAGGCAAAGAGAGAGCTCATGCAGGGAAACTCCCATTTTTAAAACCATCAGAACTCGAGAGACCCATTCACTATCACAAGAATAGCATGAGAAAGACCTGCCTCCATGATTCAATCATCTCTCACCAGGTTCCTTCACAATATGTGGGAATTATGGGAACCACAACATGAGTTTTGGGTGGGGACACAGAGCCAAACCATAACAACCACATACAAACTTCTGCATAGAAAAGATGATGAAAATGCACATTGAAAAACAATTTATATTACAGGATATTAATAGTCTTTAAACATGTAGAACTCACTCCATTGCCTTATTTGTCACAGGATTTCAGGTAAAATCCTAGAAAATACAGTGCTGTGTTTACCTATGTGGCTTCATGCCTCTATAACTTTCACTTGGAACTCATTTTATATTAAATCTATCAATGAATTTTTAAGAATCAATTCAGACTGATAACCCAGTAGTAATCATGAATGTGGGGAGGAATTTAGAAGTTACTTTCTCAGCTCCTTCTGAAATGCATTATTTTTTCTGAGATTGTATGAACCGCAGATGGAAACAGAAAAATTCACTCTAGTCAATGGATAATATTCAACTAAGACTTCTTAAATGAATAGAGTGCTTTGAGAAACACCCAGTGAGGCCTGCCTGTTCTGTTTCCCAAGAGACCATTCTTTTCCTACAGAGAAATGATGCCATCTTTTGAACCATGGATCATTAAATTTTCTGTGTTCTGTATCTTAAATTCGCCAAATATTTTTTTCTTTTCCCTTCTGTGTATAAGTGACTCTAGATTAATTGGTTGAAAAGTTAAAACTCCATTCATTCCTTTAAACATTTTCCCTGGAATTTAAGCTTTCATTTACTCTTCAGTATTTTATAGCTAATCAAACGTTGATTTAAACATAAAATAATTGTATTATAAGGATGATGAAATACATAAAATATCATCTTCCTTTTATATAAATATGAGTAGATTTAGGATTAAGATACATTTTGAGGATAGATTTTTATCCTATAATAGTCATACTTTTAAAAGGAATCATAGGGGCTATATTTATTTTTCAGTGACCAGTGTTTAAATTTTTTTATGACTATATTTATTTTTAGCTTTTGTTTTTCTACAATTTTTAGATCAAAGCAAAACTAAAGGTAGTAGCAAATAACACAGGGGAATGCATGAGCATTGAAACAAATTTCATGGACTGCTGTTACCCAAATGTCATGTTATATTGGGATTTGGGAGATTTATGTTCAGCCTTCTTAAAGCTATAATTATTTAGAATAACATATGCCCTCTTGAGCTAAGTCCATGTTTTGTTAACCAGATTAAATTTAGGGCACACGTTATAGAAGTCAAAACCTATCATCACTTCATTAAATTTATATTTTAACTGATAATCTGAAAACCAGGGAATTGAATAAAATAGCCCAGGGCAAGTAGATAGATAAATCAGATTCAGTACAAAATTATTAAGCATATTAGGAAAAAATTTAACTTATTCAGTAGTTCAGGAGAATATTCTTCTCATCATATTTCTTTATTATACTTAAATAAAAGCTTTATGTTAATAAGGAATCCTCCCTCACAAAAATATTTTACAGGAAAATGGCTCCTATTATTGTATAATTAAAAACATGGTGTTACAATGGATTTTTTATTGTCGTGAATTCATAGCATAGTTCATTGCACTGAGGGAACCTTGGATGAGGGCTTGAGGTAGCAGTGTTTTGGTTTCACCAACCCAGTTTGTAGAATGACAAGCTTAACTACAGCATGGTCTGCTCCCAGTGATCTCTTCTCAGTCAGCCTTAAGTTAGCAACCCCCTTTCCATACCTAAATGCTTAGGCCAGGAATCTATTTGTCCACGTTTAAACAATAGAGATGGCGATTTTATATCATCCAATCTAATGAGAATGTGGACAACAGGAGAATTTCTTAATTTACTGTCTTCATAGATACAAATGTATCTATTTGACATATTAATATAGAGTACCGAGATTTTCCTTGAATTCCCTTGTCTTTTCAAATGATTGATTTCATAAATTGATGACTACAAAATCTGAGGTGGAAAGGACTTTGAAATATACATAAGCCAAAATCTCTAGTTCTGTACCTGAGGCAGTATTGCTGTGAAAAACAGTGATTTTTTTCTTGAATATAGTAAACACTCAATAGTTTACAAAATGCTTTGTATAAAATATCTCCTTTAATTTTCATTAAAACCCCATAATCTAGAATATTGACATTGTCCACATTGTACAGATGGAGCTGTACAGTGTGGACAATGCGGTGACCCCGGCTCACGGCAACCTCTGACTCCCGGGTTCAAGTGATTCTCTGCCTCAGCTTCCTGAGTAGCTGGGACTACAGACGCCCGTCACAATGCCCGGCTCATTTTTGTATTTTTAGTAGAGATGGGGTTTCACCGTATTAGCCAGGCTGCTCTCGGACTCCTGACCTCGGGTGATCCACCCACCTCAGCCTCCCAAAGTGCTGGGATTACAGGCGTGAGCCACCGTGCCCAGCCTAAAATTCAACTTTATTCATCTTCTTTGTTCATGCTCTTAACTGCTGAACCATAATGCCGCCATTTGAAAACCTAAGAGGCAGCTTTCTAATCTTAACCTCATTTCCTAGATGAAAAAACTAAAGCCAAGAGAGATATGCTCTTACCCTAGGTCACATTTCATACTCTGTTCCAACTCTTTTCACAGGTGGGTCTAAAATAGCTTTAAATATCAGAGCAGTGTTCTTTGCCACAGATACATATTTAATTCAAAACAACCTTCTGTTTATTCTTTCAATTACATTAGATGACAGTATCTTAATTATATGCCATTTTGTGGATCCCATTTGCTAATTAGGGCTTTTTAATGTTACAAGTATTTTAAGTAAATGCAACAATGTAAACAGGTTTAAAAGATATAAAATTAATGTAATTATTCACAAAACTGTGAAGTCCATAGGCAGGGCAAGTGTTGAGTTTACTTTGATTTCACAGCTGTAGCTTGGCAAATACCCAGTTTCTTTGTCTCTCCAATTGAAAGGGATTTTTTTTTTTTTCTATCTCTCTCTCTCTTTCTTAAGGCTAGATCCTCACACGTGTTGGGAAAATGTGTTCTAGCAGTTCCAAGCTTCTAATTCATGACTGTAGGTAATTCTTCCAAATGATTAAAAAGTGCTATTTCTCAAAAGACTCAACAAATTTCACTTCATGGTTAGGTTTAATTGGATCAGATTCCAACTCCTGATTTAGATTTTTAGTCATAGCAATTCTGTGGGTAGAATGGCTTAGTCCTGATGGATTAGTTCAGATTCTAACTAAGGGTATTTCCTTAAGTTGATTTAGCAATAAGTGCTCAATCATGGAACTAGATCAATGACCCTCCCAAATCCACCCACCAAACATAAAAACAAATAAAAAACAGAGACCGCCACGTAACAGGAGAGGAATAGCATGATTGTTATGAGAGACACAAATGCCAGCAAACCTAATGTCCTAGAAAATTCACAATGCAAGAGTAATCCTTTACCTTGGGTGCCCTGTGGAATATTTATGTTTTGTTCTTATATTTTAAACTTTTTAAATTGTGACATATAACTGGCATGCTGAAAAGTCAGTTAAATATAAATGGGTGACATCATTAATCATTATAAGTGGAACACTGGTGTAATCTTTACCTAGGTCAAATGAAAGCACAGCCAGCCAGAAAAAGGTCTCAGTATTCCCCTACATAATTGCAATCCCTTCCAATCTCGCTAAAACTTTACCCTTAGTATAAATATTATGGTAACATTTCCTTGCTTTTAAGTATAATTTTACCACCAAAACATGAATCCATAAGCAATGTATTTCAGTTTTTCCCACTTGTGGGACTTTATAGAAATTGAATTGTACAACACAAGTGACTGGCTTCAAAAACCTGTGAAGTTTCTTGTTGTCATTGTGTATTTTATTTGCATGCACTGAATGAAAATATTACATGCTATTTATACATATTACTGTTAACAGACATTTGGGCTGTCATGAACATTCTCGAATATATTTCTTGGCGCATACTGGCCTTGAGTTCTGTTGGATGTATGCCTGTGGATTTGTTGAGTCATGGAAAATATATCTGTTTAACATATTAGATACTGTCAAATGGTTTTCTAATATAGTACCAAATTATAGCCCCACTAGCAGGGGGATAGTTTCTCTCCTTCCACACCATTGCAAAACCATTCCCTTATCAATCATGTTAATGTTGGACATTCTGGTGGAGTGGATGTCTACCAGTGATATCTCATTGCAGCTTTACTTTGTCCATCACTGGCTAGAAATGAAATTGAGTATCATTTCATGTATTTTATTGGCCTTTATGTATATTCTCTTTTGTGACGTGACTGCTGAAGTCTCTCATATTTTTTTTTTAATTAGGTTGCCTGATTTCTTACTTTTGGTCAGTCTTTATGCCTTCCAGTACCGGCCACTTGACAATTTTTGTTCTGCATTTCAAATATCTTCTTCTACTCTATAAATTCATCTTCACTTTCTGAATCGTGTCCTTTGGCAAAGAGTTTCTTTTTTTAATAAAAAAAATGATAGCTTTCGGGGTACAAGTAGCTTTTGGTTACATGGATGAATTATATAGTGGTGAATTCTGAGATGTTATTGCGTCTGTCACCTGAGTAGCGTACATTGTGCCTAATATGTAGTTTTAATCCCACATCTGTCTCCTATCCTTCCCCTTTTGAGACTTTATATTAGTCCATTCTAAAACTGTTATAAAGACATACCTGAGACTGGGTAATTTATTAAAAAAAAAAAGGTTTAATTGGCTCAGAGATCTGTAGGCTGTAGAGGAAGCATGGCGGCATCTGCTTCCAGGGAGGCCTTAGGAAGAATTTACTCATGGCATAAGGCAAAGCAGGAGCAGGTGTCTTCACATGGCTGGGCAAAAGGAAAAGAGACAGGGGAAGAACTACAAACTTTTAAAACAACCAGATCTTGTGATAACTCATTCACTATCATGAGAACAGCACTGAGGAGATGGTGCTAAACCATTCATGAGAACTCTGCCTCCATGATCCAATCACCTCTCATCAGGCCCCACCTCCAACACTGGGATTACAATTTGACATGAGATTTGGGTGGGGACACAGATCCAAACCATATCAATCTCCAAAGTCCATTTTATCATTCTGTATGCCTTTGCATATTCATAATGTAGCTCCCACTTATAAATGAGAACATTTGTAAATAAATGAGAACATTGTACTTGTTTTTCCATTCCTAAGTTACTTCACTTAGAATAATGGCATCCAGCTCTGTCCAAGTTGATGCAAAAGACATTATTTTATTACTTTTTATGGTTGAGTAGTATTCCACGGTATAAATGTACTACATTTTCTTTATTCACTTATTGGTCAGTGGGCACTTGGGTTCATCACATCTTTGCAACTGTGAATTAGGCTGCAATAAACATGCATGTGCAAGTATCTTTTTTGTATAACGACTTCTTTTCCTTTGAATAAAGACCCAGTAGTGAGATGGCTGGATT